>NC_000010.11:51203701-51355216 GCF_000001405.40 Homo sapiens | reverse complement strand
TACAGATGGAAATAACAATAGTAATAAAGCTATCCTTTACTGAGGACTTATTATGCACCAAGTACCATGTTAAGCATTTTACTTGTGTGTTATTTGATTTCATGATTAAACAATCCCATGTTGTATGGACCCATTTATGGATGAGAAAATTAAGGCTTAGTCATGTCACAAATCTGTAAAAAGCATACAGTTAATAAATGGAGAAATCAGACTCTAATTTATGCATCTGAGTCTGAAATTTGCTATGCCATTCCTATGCCCAGACATTTGCTACCATGCTCAGAGGGAGGGTCCTCCCTATAACTGTCAGCATCTGAGCCTACACAGCACAGATGAAAGACCCTTAATCTGTTTTTTGATATCTTTAATCAAAACAGACAAGTAACACTGGCTTGTTTATCTCCCCCACCCCAAGCCTTCCCATAGACAACACAGCCTGTCTCCTTTAAAAGTTTTAGTATTATGAAGACCTGGAAACAAAGAAGTTTTCTTCAGATTCTTACATTGATTAGTAACTATCTCAAAGCAATATGTGTGAGACAGAAAAATTACACAACATGGAGAATAAATTAGGACATCTATCCAGTTGGAAACAGGATGTTAGACTATTCTGATGTACAGTGTGTAGTTGATTTTTACATTTGTTGTATTGTATTATTCAGCTATAATTATATATGGAAGTTTTATATGGGAAAATGATATTTTAAATCTCAATTTATTGATAAAAATACAGAATAGAATGATTTTTATTTTTTAATAATTTTTCCGGGTACATAGTAGCTGTATATGTTTATAAGGTACATGATATTTTTTGATACAGACATGCAAAGTGTAATAATCACATCACAGAAAGTTGGGTATTCATCCCCTCAAGCATTTATCCTTTGTGGGGTACAAGCAATCCAATTATACTCTTTTAGTTATTTTTAAATGTACAATTAAATTATTATTGACTACAGTCTTCCTGTTGTGCTATCAAGTATTAGGTCTCATTCATTCTTTCTAATTTTTTTTTTTGTGCCCATTAACCGTCCCCACCTCTCTGCCCCCATCACGACCCTTCCCAGCGTTGTAACCATCCTTCTCCTCTCTATCTCAATGAGTTTAATAGTTTGGATATTTTGATATTTAGAAGCAACAAATAAGTGAGAATATATGTTGTTTATCTTTCTGTGCCTGGCTTACTTCACTTAACATAATGACCTCCAGTTCCATCCATGTTGTTGTAAATGACTGGATCTCATTCCTTTTTATGGTGGAATAGTTGGATATTTATATCCATTAGATATAGATATCACATTGTCTTTATCCATTCATCTGTTGATGAACACAAATCTTGGCTATTGTAAATAGTGCTGCAACAAACATGAGAGTCCAGTTATTTCTTTGATTTACTAATTTCCTTTCTTTTGGGTATACACCCAGCAGTGGGATTGCCAGATGATATGGTATCACTATTTTCAGGTTTTTGAGGTAACTTCAAACTGTTCTCCATAGTGGTTGCATTAATTTACATTCCCACCAACAGTGTATGAGGGTTCTCTTTTCTCCACATCCTCGCCAGCATTTGTTATTGCCTGACTTTTGGATAAAAGCCATTTTAACTGAGGTGAGATGATATCTCATTGTAGCGTTTGTATTTCTCTGATGATCAGTGATGTTGATCACTTTTTCATATGCCTGTTTGCCATTTTGTATGTCTTCTTTTGACAAATGTCTATTCAGATCTTTTGCCCATTTTTAAATCACATTCTTATACTTTTTTCCTGTAGAGTTGTTTGAGCTCATTCTATATTCTCGTTATTAATCCCTTGTCAGACGGAGAGTTTGAAAATATTTTCTCCCATTCTATGGGTTGTATCCTGACTTTGTTAATTGTTTCTTTTGCTGTGCAGAAGCTTTTTAACTTGATGTGATCCCATTTATTCATTTTTTGCTTTGGTTGCCTGTGTTTGTGTGGTATTACTCAAGAAATGTTTTGCCCAGATCAATGTCCTAGAGAGTTTCCCCAGTGTTTTCTTGTGGTAGTTTCACAGTTTGAGGTTTTAGCTTTAAATTGTTAATCTATTTTGATTTTATTTTTGTATAAGATGAGAGAGAGGGATTAAGCATCATTCTTCTGCATATGAACATCCAGTTTTCCCCGCACCATTTATTGAAAGACTGTCTTTTCCCCAATGAATGTTCTTGGCACCTTTATTGAGAATTAGTTCACTGTAGATGTGTGGATTTGTTTCTGGGTTCTCTATCTGTTCCGTTGGTCTTTGTGTCTGTTTTATTTTGTTGTTGTTGTTGTTTGTTTTGTTTGTTTGTTTTGCCAGTACCATGATGTGTTAGTTACTGTAGCTGTGTAATATAATTTGAAGTCAGGTAATATGATTCCTCCAGTTTTGTTATTTTTGCTCAATATAACTTTGACTCTTCTGGGTATTTCTGATTTCATGCAAATTTTAGGATTTTTTTTCTATTTCTATGAAGGACGGCATTAGTATTTTCATAGGGATTGCATTGAATCTGTAGATTGCTTTGAGTAGTATTTGGTTTGGGTAGTATAGACATTTTAATGATATTTATTCCTCCAAATCAGGAACATGGAATATCTTTCCATTTTTTTGGTGTGTGTCCTCTTCAATTTCCTTCTTCAGTGTTTTATAGTTTTCACTGTAGAGATCTTTCACTTCTTTGTTTGTTAATTCCTAGGTACTTAATTTTACTTGTGGCTATTATAACTGAGAATACTTTTAAAATTTCCTTTTCAGATTGTTCACTGCTGGCATATAGAACCACTGCTCAAGGAAATAAGAGAGGACACAAACAAATGGAAAAATATTCTATGCTCATGGATAGGAAGAATCAATACCGTGAAAATGGCCATACTTCCCGAAGTAATTTATAGAGGCAATGCTATCCCCATCAAGCTACCATTGACTTTCTTCACAGAATTAGAAAAAAAAAAATTCTTTAAATTCCATATGGAACCAAAAAAGGGCCTGCATAGCCAAGACAATCCTAAGCAAAAAGACCAAAGCTGGAGGCATCACGCTACCTGACTTCAAACTATACTACAGGGCTACAGTAATCAAAACAGCATGGTACTGGTACCAAAACAGATCTACAGACCAATGGAACAGAACAGAGAGCTCAGAAATAATAGCACAAATCTACAACCATCTGATCTTTGACAAACCTGACACAAACAAGCAATGGGGAAAGGATTCCCTATTTAATAAATGATGTTGGGAGAAACGGCTAGCCATATGCAGAAAACAGAAACTGGACCCCCTTCCTTACACCTTATAGAAATATTAACTCAAGATGTATTAAAGACTTAAATGTAAAACCTAAAACCATAAAAACCCTAGAAGGAAACTTAGGCAATACCATTCAGGACATAGGCATGGGCAAAGACTTAATGACTAAAATACCAAAAGCAATGGCAGCAAAAGCCAAAATTGAAAACTGGGATCTAATTAAACTAAAGAGTTCTGCACAGCAAAAGAAACTATCATCAGAGAGAACAGACAACCTACAGAATGGGAGAAAATTTTTGCAATCTATCCATCTGAAAAAGGGAATCTACAAAGAACTTAAACAAATTACAAGATAAAACAAACAACCCCATTGAAAAGTGAGCAAAGGATATGAAGAGACACTTCTCAAAAGAAGACATTTATGTGGCCAACAAATATATGAAAAAAAAACTCATCATCACTGATGATGAGAAATGCAAATCAAAACCACAATGAGATACCATGTCATACCAGTTAGAATGGCGATCATTAAAGTCAGGAAACAACAGATGCTGGAGAGGATGTGGAGAAATAGGAACACTTTTACGCTGTTGGTGAGAATGTAAATTAGTTCAACCATTGTGGAAGACAGTGTGGCGATTCCTCAAAGATCTAGAACCAGAAATACCACTTGGCCCAGCAATCCCATTACTGGGTAAATACCCAAAGGATTATAAATCATTCTACTATAAAGACACATGCATGCATATGTTTATTGCGGCACTGTTCACAATAGCAAAGACTTGGAACCAACCCAAATGCCCATCAATGATAGACTGGATAAAGAAAATGTGGCACATATATACCATGGAATACTATGCAGCCATAAAAGGCATGAGTTCATGTCCTTTGCAGGGACATGAATGAAACTGGAAACCATCATTCTCAGCAAACTGGAACAGAAAACCGAACACCACATGTTCTCACTCATAAGTAGGAGTTGAACAATGAGAACACATGGACACAGGGAGGGGAACATCACACACCAGGGCCTGTCAGGGGATGGGGGGCTAGGGGAGGGATAGCATTAGGAGAAATACCTAATGTAGATGACGGGTTGATGGGTGCACCAAACCACCATGGCACGCGTATACCTGTGCAGCAAACCTGCACGTTCTGCACATGTATCCCAGAACTTAAAGTATATTAAAGAAAAAGAAATGCTACTGATTTTTGTATGTTGATTTCTTGTTCTGCAACTTGCTGAATTTGCTTATCAGTTCCAATAGTTTTCTTGTAGAGTCTTTAGGTTTTTCCAAATATAAGATCATATCATCTGCAAACAAGGATAATTTGACTTCTTCCTTTCCGATTTAGATGCTCTTTATTTCTTTCTCATCTGATCTCTCTCGCTAAGACTTCCAGTACTATGTTGAGTAACAATGCTGAAAGTGGGCCTCCTTTCTAAAAACTGAAAAGAAGCTTCCAGTTTTTTTCCCATTCAGTATGATACTAACTGTGGGTCTGTAGTATGTGGCTTTTATTATGTTGAGGTATGTTCATTCCATATAGAATGTGAGTTATTTAGTTAGCATCCTATCCAAGGTTTTAGAGGTAGAACCCATCTACCTGACTCCCCACTACCAATATTTACCTGAGACCTCCTGTACTCTGGGTTCCTTTATCATCTGTATTAGTGAGTTGGGATGTTTGAGCTTTCAATGGCCTTGTCATTAGGTCAGTCTATCTTGGGGAGGGTACATTGTGGACTGGCTGAGGCCATGTGAGTCTGACTGGATGAATTCACATAACTGGTCCAGCTCCACTTGTGGAAACTTCCATAACTCTACTATATGAATGATATGGCAAATTCATTATGAATTCAAATAATGAACTCAGCACAGTCATTAGCACAGAAGTGATCAAAATGATTTATGGTTATTATTATATGACCCTAAGTTTTATCCTTCCTCCCCTTAACTCCATGGTATTTATGTTCCTTAAAATTAAATTTGTCTGAGTGCATCTTGCCCTTGCCTTTTCTATAGAGAGTAAGCTCATTTAGGGCAGAAGCTGTGCCTTATAATTATCTATCCAATTTAGCAGTTCTCTTTATTTCTTGGTACTCCACTGAGAATCTCTAGAGAGAATGTGTACTCAGCTTAAAGATACACATACATGGTATCTGTATGTGGTTCACATCTGTAATCCAAGCACTTTGGGAGACTGAGGCAGCCAGATCACTTGAGGTCAGGAGTTTAAGACCAGCCTGGCCAACATGGTGAAACCCCGTCTCTACTAAAAATACAAAAATTAGCTGGGCGTGGTGGTGCATGCCTGTAGTCCCAGCTATTTGGGAGGCTAAGGCAGGAGAATCGCTTGATCCTGGAAGGCAGAGGTTGCAATGAGCCAAGATCATGCCACTGCACTCCAGCCTGAGTGTCAGAGCAAGACTTCATCTAAAAAAAAAAAAAAAAGGACACATACACATACACACACACATACACACACACACACACACACACACACACAAACAATATGAACTCAAAGTAAACAATTTTTTATCTTCTCTGAACAAAATACACACTAAAATTTCTTAGGATTTTGGCAAATATAATGTTGGTCTAAGAAAATATCCTATGCTTTTACAATTAGGTCAGAGATGATATAAGTATGGTTCTAAACTCTCACCTTGACAATAGGTCACTGGCCATATATTTCACTACATGGAAGAAACAGAAATCCGTAGTCTTCCACACAAAACCACAAATGTACACACTTCCAGCACCAGCAGGAGACACCAATATTAGCAGGTTTGAGATGTGCTATGTCAGGCAGCTATTTTACTCCTCTAAGTCTGAGACTCCTCATCGAATGAAGGAGAGGTAATACAGTGCTTACCTTGGCTTTGATGGAAGATGACGACAACACTTGGGCACACCAGGTCTGACTTATGGTAAGGGATTAATTAGCATCATCTCACTATCGTCTCAAGTATGAATGCCGCCAAGTGAGCTATTTTATATCTTCCTAGCTCCGGATTTCACCTGCTACCAATGAGTAGATTTTTCCCTAGCCCAAAATGGTATCACATAGGGAAAAAAAATGAAAAAGAACTCAGAAACCCCTACACAAATCAGGGAAACTCAAATGTTGTGACATACCAGTCACACTGAAGAATGGATGCAGTACACTTCACTCAGTTTTTTTATATTGATGGGATATGTCAGAATAAGTGGCAATGTTAGAGGTAAGTGCAGTAGATACATGTTAGTGCAAGAAATGAGACCAAGGTCGAGTTCTCACTAGACTTCCTTAAAGCTTCACTACAGGTTGATACCTGAGCTCAAGAGGAGAAGTATCACCTGCTAAGAGAGACAATCTGGTAAAAAATAGTCTTTTAAAAAAGGCTTTATTTCTTCAGTGAATAAACATCATTGTGTGGGATCTCTAATGCGCTTGTTTTATGTTTCTAGGCAGGATCCACTCTTGATGGAGAAGGTCAGAGTAAAATTCCAAGGCACTCACCTGGAGGTTGTGGTTACTAGCAGGTTGCCTTACGGTGTAAGGAAAATTACTGAACTTCTTTGAAAAGTTAATTTTATTTTGAAAGATTATATATTTAATTTGTTGTGCATCTCAAGATTCCACTGACGGGCTAACAGAGATCAAATGTATAATCTTTCTCTGATTAACAGAGAAAAGGATGATTGCACATATCGGTTTAAGGGCAGGAGAGTGTGTGTGGGAGGTAAGGTACAGAGTAAACTTGATATGTGGACTTAAGTGGCCTTTGGTGTAAGTATTTTATTCCAATGTGATAGGTTTATTATATTTTAAATTAAGATTTAGCATTACTTTCTCTTAAGTTACGTGTTTTCTCCCCAAACTTTGTTGCCATTTGTTTTTGTTTTTGTTTTTTTTGAGATGGAGTCTCGCTCTGTCACCCAGGCTGGAGTGCAGTGGCATGATCTCGGCTCACTGCAAGCTCCGCCTCCCGGGTTCACGCCATTGTCCTGCCTCAGCCTCCCGAGTAGCTGGGAGTACAGGCACCCGCCACCATGCCCGGCTAATTTTTTTTGTATTTTTAGTAGAGAAGGGGTTTCACCGTGTTAGCCAGGATGGTCTCGATCTCCTGACCTCGTGTTCCGCCTGCCTCGGCCTCCCAAAGTGCTGGGATTACAGGTGTGAGCCACCGCGCCCAGCCTTTGTTGACTTTTATGTTCTGATAACCGGTGCTAAATCTGGCCTGTTACACCACTGAGAATCCCAGAAGAGAATGTTTACCGATTTCAAGAAGAACGATGATTGTAAAGCCTTCTGTTAATCTTATTTTCATTTTAGACCCAGAGACATGGGTAAACAAGTTCATCTGACTATCCATAAAAGGACCAAAAAAGTTTATTTGAAAACCAACGAGAAACTATCACATTTTCACTAAAAATGGCATTACCAGTTTTTAGGGGGACTACTGTCTGGCTGGTATTCCAACAACCATCTTCCTACCAAGCAATTCATTCATAAGATCAAGTTATATAAAAGTATCAAGAGTTCCAGGAACTGAGGAACTGAAGTATCCATTCTTCGTTAGAAAGAATATTGTACATAGTCTATTGATACCTAATGCCTTCCATCTTCTAAGCTTTTCCGTCGTTAAAAGAATGCTAATTGTATTCAGATATTCACTCTTCTTCAATATTCACTCTTCTTCAACATGATCCAGGGCGAGGTGCTTAACCCCAACTCCAAGGGCATATAACTCATTAGCCTCAGGTAATCAGTGTGTTGGCATTCTTCTAGTGACTCTTATTGATCCAGGGGTGTGCAAGTATTCTAAATTGTCTTGGTGGTAGAAAAAAAAACCAGTTTTTTTCATGAACAGGGAAGCATGTGGCCGCAGTGGCTATTGGCATTCATCTGTGGCCACGAAAATAACCAGACTCAGGATGCTGAGGCCACGAGGTGAGAGGGAAGCATCCCAGGTCCTCGGCAACATCATCAAGCTACTGATTGTACTGAGCTTTGAAGCCCATTCTATGTCTGTAAAATAAATTTGTTACTGAGTAAGGTTTGAGTGAAGCGGTTTACACAAGAGAGCCACAAAGTCTTTATTCAATTTAAGAGAGCCCCACAAATAAAACAGAGGAAGATTAGGTATCATGAGGTAGTATTCTATAATACTTCCAATGCTAGCAAATTACCATGTCATTATAATTGGAAAGTATTATCTAACATCAAATATGCTTTGCAGATGTCAAATTCAGTGAAGTTATACTCATGAAGGAAATGTCAGTTGGATAACAGAAAAAGTGATTGCTTTTTTGTAATATTCATAATAGGCAATGGCATTAGGCTTAACAGCTCAAGTAACTCTGCCTTTAATTCTGAGTATGCCAAAATATGCCTATATGGCCCTCAAATCAGTGATTTTAGTATAAAAAGTAACATAAAACAGTTGCTTGATTCCACTTACATTGCTGCATTTCCTCAAAATTTCACTTGAGAAATATTTATTAGGACTCTAGATAAAAATCTTAATTTCTTTATGCAGAAGTGGCAGTATTTTATAACTCTCACTAGAATGTTGAAAGCATTAAAATAATTAAGTGTATAATACATATTTTCATCCTAAAAGACATGCTTACGTTTATCTTCAAATAAAACCCAGCCGCAAATCCATTTTTAAAATGAGCAACACAGATATGTGTTATTACTTTATAGACTATGTCCTGCACTTCTTTTCTGAATCCAATTGTACGCTAATCTAAAATTTGAAATAAATTATGAGAGAACACTATTCCACAATGATCATCAACGACTTTTTTGGAATTCAGCGTCCCTCTGTTGGGTTTAATTTAAACCAAACAAAAAGCCTGTCTTAAAGTGACAGCTATTGGAAACATCACACAGAGCAGGCTATCAGTGATAAAATGATCAAGTAACCATTTATAATACCAGCTAGACTTCCATAGAACCAGGTATGTTAAAAAAGACAGAGAATCAAGAGCCTTGAAATTGTACCAATAATGCTATCTGTACTGAACATAATCTCCAGAAGAAACATCAATAACTTTCCTGCTGGAATCAAGAGCAAGATCCAGAACTCATCATTGCCAGTACACCAGACTTGAATCATCCCGTAGCATGGCCTTTGTCACACCGTACCATAATTGCTTACTTTCATGTTCCTCTCATTGGCTTGTTAACATCTTAAGAGAGTCTTGCACAAAGCACATGCTCAATAAATAAATGAAAAATGAACAAATAAAAATCCAGGACTTGATAGAGTCCCCAAAGCTCTTATCAAGGATAAGGCTATTTCCCTTCCTTGCCTGTTTTATGTTGTTTGCTTGTTCCAAATGAGATTATGTATGGGATTTTAAATTTGGCATTTTAGAGCAAACGAGTAGCCTCAAAAGTGATTACTGTCTGCCCAACATTTTCAAGTAGCCTAGTAGAAGTTACATATTTACTCTCGGTGAAATATCCCATAACTAACTATACATCCCATGGTTTTGCTCTAGTCTGGGATTATGTCAATCAAGCACAGTAACACTCAAACCATAACTCTGAAGCCCTGATTAACAGTTACCTATTACAGTTAATAGAAAATGGACAACAAAATTAGTCATTATTTAGAAAATATAATTTTAAAGGCAATACTATTTCTAAGAATGGCACCATGAAGTAGAGGAAGATTAAAAGAGGTTGTAATAATAAAAACACTAGAAAGCACTTGATTGATTATTCTCATCAGCAAAGAATTTGCAACAATGTTAGAAGCAACGTTTAAAATAGGGTAATTTAATATCTCTTTTATTTGAAAACTTTATATTCTAAGATTTCACATATTTTAAAGTTTTCTGACATAAACGCAGCACCCATTTTTTTGTTCTCTGGTTATATTTCACCAAGAACTACTAATTATTATTGTTTTCAAGATCACCTTGGAGAGGTAGACTAATTAGTGCACCTATTAGTCTGTAACAAACTATTAAAATAAAGAAACAGTCTTGTTATTTGTATGTATATATACATTTACAAGCAAAACTGAAGAAATCCCAGTGTTCCTATTGTGCATGAATTTTGTGGACCAATTAGTGTGAAATGCAATTTGCACTAATTCATCGGGGGCAAAGGGAGCAAGCAATTACCTTGACTTGTTAATTTAGCATTTTATCGTACATTGTTCATATTGAGAATTTTTCCCAGTGGTAATAATACTCCCTTGTTATAGAAAGGCAATCTGGGCAGTAATATCATGAACCTTCTCTTCAAATTCCCATTTTATATTACATTTATAAGACAGTGAAAAAAAAAGGACATCTTGTACCCACATCTCTCACTAGATCTCTCTCTTCTGAGTAAGACATCATCTCTACAGTCATCTTGTCAAATACCATGTACATGCTTTTGACCCTAACTGACTAAGCTAGAATGATTGCTTAAGCAGAGAAATTGAGAGTTGAGGAGGTTTACCTTGTATATGAGTACAATCCTAACGTTTAAGCCCTGAGTGTGTCTGATATAGTTTGACTATTTGCTCTACTCAAATCTCATGTTGAAATGTAATCCTCAGTGTTGGTGGTGGGGCCTTGTGGGAAATGTTTGGATCATTGAGGTGGAATTCTCGTGGATAGTTTAGCATGATCCTCTTGATGCTGTCCTTGTGATAGTGAGTGAGTTCTCACAAGATCTGGTCGTATAAAAGCATGTGGTACCCCCCCAGCTCTCTCTCCTGCTCCTACTCCTCTAGCCATGTGACGTGCCTGCTCCCCGCTTTGCCTTCTGTCATGATTGTAAGTTTCCTGAGGCCTCCCCAGAAGCCATGAGAATGTCAGCCTCATGCTTCCTGTACAGCCTGCAGAACCATGAGCAAGTTAAACCTCTTTTCTTTATAAATTACCCAGTCTCAGGTATTTCTTTATAGCAATGCAAGAATGACCTAATACAGAGTCCACAACATAGAAATGTTCAGAAGTAAAAGCAGTTTATCTTCCAGACATAAAAATGTATTGCTAGCATACATTATCTAGGCTTTTCCTTTAGTATTTAAAAAACAAATCTCTCTACCAGTTGATTCCCATTGAGCTGCTAGGTACTGTAGAAAGAGCTTTTAGCTACATATGAGGGGCACATTACTGGTGATACAAAGACCTGAGCTTCGATTTGGCTCTATTATTCCCTGGCTGAGTGATCTGGGGAAAGGCACAATCCTGCTTTACAATTTATTTATTGAGGGCCAACCTTAAACTAATGTGCTAAGTGAGAGAAACATATATTGCCTGCATGCTTCATAGAATTTTTTTAGTAATTATACGTGAAAATTAAGTGAAAAATAATTTATAAAATTATTCATTTTATTAAAACATATTATTGTCAATATTTAAATAAACATACCAGTAATATATCTACCAAATTATGTTATTATATATTATTAAATATGCTTTTTATACCAAATAATTATTTAAAATAAAAATGGTAGAAAATCCTATCACTGTGTTTTTAAAAGATATTTTGCTTTGGTTACTGATATCACATATACATTGGGCAGTCAAAACTGCAGAATGCCAACTGTGTCCAGAGCCCCATTTTAACAGAAATAACCACATTCAGTTGACATCACAGGTGGGAGAGCGGTGAAAGATAATCTGTTCCAACTGTAGCCAATCTGTAAGCTAACTAGTGGATAATAGGGTAATTATCTCTCCCCAGAGCTTGAACTGGAGATACAGAGAATTAAGTCAGGTGATAGTGGGGATGGAAGGAAAAAAAAGATATACAAGAAAGAGTATAGACAACATGAGTTGAGTTACTGATCTATGTTGTTGAAA
The DNA here is from genome assembly GCF_000001405.40 of Homo sapiens. NCBI lineage: Eukaryota > Metazoa > Chordata > Mammalia > Primates > Hominidae > Homo > Homo sapiens. The sequence continues at coordinate 51,343,152 of NC_000010.11, read as the reverse complement.
GAGATTCTGAAGTCCAACAACTAAAGTAGTAGCATGGAAGCTCACATTGCAGTGAATTTTGGGCAAACATCCAACTAGCAAAATAATTTAGTCTACCTGAGGCCCAACTGTATAGAGTTTCCCTTTTCCTGTGAAGTCTACCTTAACCCCTACCCCTGAATTCCTGTCTAATGTGGTAATACATAGGGTAATGTGTGTTTTCTTTTTGTTTTTCACATTTCTCATGGATGAACCCCTCCTAACTTTTAATCCAAGGACTGAATGTTACTGCAACTGAGAATAATCTAACACAGATGAATATTCATAGAATGAACACCTGAATGTTTGTTATTCTTCATATTGCTGTCTTACTTTAGGACAAGAAGCAATAAGTATAATCACTAATGTTTTTGGATATACGGGCTATTATGATTCTCTGATTGTATTACCTGTAATGGTATTTGAAATACTTATAAGTCTATTGTATAATTTAAACTCTATTTTTGGTGACAGGAGAGTATAGAAGTGACTCAGATGAAAATTAGGTCTGCATATGATCTAGTAGAAGTTAAATGGAGCTAAAAATTAAATCAAATGTGATGACTCAGGACTTTGATACAGATTTAGGAAGTTGTCCAGGAGATACTGAATTGGCAAACAAACAAGTTCCTGATCTTGACTCTGATGTTTTATTTCACTTAAAAATAGTTCTTGTTTCTCTATGTTTTAATTCTGTGTCTCTTAGAAAGTTTGATCACATCTTGTCCTTTCTGTGGTATTTCTCTGTATAAGGAGGTGAAAAAAAATTGAGCTATTTCTCTTAGTCCTTTAAAATCTCTCTCTGTATGACATTTTCCTAATCTTAAAATGAGAATCCCCTTGTAAGGAAGGTTGGACCCAATTACCCGCTGTTGTACACATCCACAAAAACTCATTCCCCCTTCTCCTATTACTTATCCTACAAATAACCATTAGGAGTCCTCACCTTACTTCAGAATATTTAATAAAATGAGGTGTTACCATTATGCCTGGATTTAAGATTCAACAGCAAGGGCCTCTAGGCTAAAATACGTGTCATCTTCAGCTCTGCTTTCTCTCTGGTATCTAATATCGGTTACTGATATGGTTTGGCTGTGTCCCAACCCAAATCTCACCTTGACTTGTAATAATCCCTATGTATAAAGGGCAGGGCCAGAAAACCTCATGGGGGAGGTTTCCCCATACTGTCCTCATGGTAGTGAATAAGTCTCACAAGATCTGATGGTTTTACAAATGGGAGTTCCCCTGCACAAGCTCTCTTGCCTGCTGCCATGTAAGACGTGACTTGCTCCTCATTTGCCTTCTGCCATGATTGTGAGGCCTCCCCAGCCATGGGGAACTCTGAGTCCATTAAACCTCTTTTCTTTATAAATTACCCAGTCTCAATTATGTCTTTATTAGCAGCATGAGAGCCAACTAATACAGATACTTTACCCTTGGAACTCTCTTGTTCCTTTAAGTCACTATACACCACTTCCTATCAAATATCAAGTGCCAGGAGAAGAAATGTACCACATTAAATCACAAGTGGCTCTAAAACAATATGGAACGAGTTGGAGACACACTTTACACTGTGAGGTTTAAGAATAGCCATTTAAGTTCCCAGCCATAACACTTGCCTTAGGGAAGACAAGAGAAGTTAGGGATCCTTAAAGTATCAAACGTAAGCAGAGCACTGTGTAGGGGTCAGAAGAAAAGGATATTTAAACAACAGTCCCAACAACAGGCTTTACTTCTCTTTGTTCTGCCTCTATCATGCTCAGCCTTTGCTCAACCGCAGGGTGTGAATCATGATAAAAATAACTTCCTGTTGACTTTTACAATATAAAACCTCAAAAGAATAACCTGGCTTTCTTTTTCTAACACAATTCTATGTAGATAAATATTTAAGAAAATTATTCACAGAAATTGCCTTTAAAAAAAGTAATAGTTTATAAAATCTTTTGAAATACATCTTTCTCAGGCACCTCTTGTTAAATCCCTTTACTCCCTTAATTGACTTCAAGGCAATTTAAACACTGGAATATGTATTTGATGCTATGAGCTGTGATGATAAAATATGGATATTTTATGGAAATCAGTCTGGTTTCCCACCAAGTGTATGGAGTAGAGACTCTTTGGATGAATGGATATTTTGAATTAGCTAACGGGGAAAGTTTCTGAGGAGGATTTTTTTCTATCAACAAGCTGCATGTAGGTCTATGTGAGATGTAGAATCAATTACTGAGAACTTTGGTTTTTAATCTTTTTAATATGGATAAAATGACCCTCTTACCCCATCTGCCCCATTAGATTGTCTTATTCACGACATTCCAGACATATGCTTTTGAGACTTCAGATATTGTCTATGGTTTTCTATTGATTATCAGGCACTGAACTTTTCTCAAAGAAAAACTCCTCGGCTGTTTTTCCAGACAACTGAATGCATTAAGTTAGGTGTTCTCTGAAGCTAGATAGCTTTCATGAAATGATGAGATATGTATTGGTTTGGCTTAGGAGTGATTTGATGCAGTAATTTCTTCTCTTAGTAGGGCATTATGCCTGGCTCATGACCTAAAAGAGACTTTGCAATTCTAAATCCAAATGGCTTTAAGTCTTTGCATATTCATCTATGTTTAACATGCATTATTATAGTAGCAAGTACTTTGAAATGAAGTAAACATTTGGAAACTTGTAGACATGCAAACTGTGAATAAAAATACAATCTTAACATAGATTAAACTGATAAGAGGAAGATGATTTAAAAGGATTAAATGATTAGAAATGAGTTTGGCAAAGTCAAAACCTTGTCCATCAGTTAAGTACAATATATTCTTAGAAAGAACCTCTTAAAAAACAAATGGTTTAGAGTTATAAACATGTTAGAATAGCAGTTCAAGCTATCAATGGAAAATATCAGAGCGATAGGTTTCTTTTCTTTAGAATTTCTTAATACATAAAAATGTCTTTAACCTGACATAATGAAATGAAGGCTAATGCTACAAAAGTAGACACAACAAAGTGGCAACTATTTCAAAAAGTCAATGGATAATCATCCTAAGACTGATTCTCCTATAAAATGGTTATAAAGCTGAGATCCACTAGCAGAGGCTTTTATTCCATCTGAAAGTAAATAAAGCAGTTCATCATACTACTGATGGAAGTATAAGTTGGTGAAATCTTTTTGAAAGATAAAAGCCTTAAAAATGTGATAACATCTTGTCTCAGCAAGTCTTCTAGGAATTTATCTGTAGGAAATAATCAGAGATGACCAGAGATTAAGCAGCAAAAATATTTACAGAGTTTTTTTAAAAAGTAAAAAACTGTAATAAAACCAAATTATCAACAGTAAGATAATACTTAAATCATAGTGCTTTCATCATATGGAGTTCTTCTATATGGCTTTTGGAATGATACTGTAGAATAATGTTTAATTACATGCAAAGATGTTAATTATATACTTTGCATGAGAAAATAGTTAAAAACAGCATATACTACACGAACTTATATGCAAAGGAATATACACATAAATATATATAAATATAGAACAAAGATTGAAATAATGTATACAAAATGTTACGGTATCTTATGAAATTTTTATTTACTTTCTTTTTTGTTTTCTAAATTTTCTACAGTGAATGTATATATATGTATAATGAAAATTAAAATTATTAAAAATATTTAAAGTCAGGAAAAAAGCTGGAAACTTGGAAGATATCTTGAAAATTGCATGATTTCTGAAATAAATATTTCAGGATGAATTATGCTTTATATCTCCTTCCTTTCTCTAAAATGTAAACATTTTTGTACTTTCTGGTGAACCTTTCTAGAAGATAATTTGAAGACACAGCTCTCCTCTGGTATGGATCATGTGATTTTCCAAAACCATGACTCAAACATATTTGGCCATTCATAGCAAGTACTTTATAAGCTCAAACAACTTGAGCCTTTAAGTAAAGTAAGAAGGGTAAGTAAAGGAGAAGGTCAAAGAAATTATATTTCTTATGTTTCAAGTATTAAGGCTTTTGAAGATTTTGCCTAGAAAATAGAGCTTAAAATTAAGCTTTGGCAAAATTTAAGACTACTTATGGGAATTCCCTTCTCACAATTTATTCCCCCAATTTAATGAATACTTACATGTGACAGTGAAATGGATATATGCTACCCAGGGCTTTCCAAACATGGCCTATTATTAAGTTGGTCATTTCTTAAGGCAATCATATTTCATTTTGATTTTTTTTCCAATTATTCTCCAGGACAAACTTAGCATTGCGCTAGATATCTTTTGTGGGCTATTCTGTGAAAATCATTTGACAAAAAAGTAGGAACAAAATCCTGTACCCTATTAAATATTTCAACCTCAGGTAATATTTATGACTGTACAATCTAATTGAATCATAGCATCACTAATCAGACATCCCAAAGATCCCCAGATTTATCTGAAATGATGAAGTTCAATTAAGACTAATGATAACTACTTTAGAATAAAAGAACCAATATCCTTGACTACCCAGTTAATGGCAGCGCTGCATGTAAGCATCTCATTTTACACAATCCAGGGAGATGCTTCCCATTGAGAATTCTGACACAAGTTCCATGGCCCCTGGTCCATGTATTTATAGGGCATCTATCTCATAACTAGCTATGTGGCTCCATTTCCACTTCCTCCCTCCTACCAGACTGTTTCAGTGTGGCTAACCCCTAGCCTAGAAACCCTTATTTTTCTTTAATTTTAATTTTTTATTTTAAGTTCCAGGGTACATGTGCAGGATGTGCAGGTTTGTTACGTAGGTAAATGTGTGCCATGGTGATTTGCTGCACCTATCAACCCATCACCTAGGTATTAAGGCAAACATATTTCATTTTCATCAACCCATCACCTAGGTATGGCCAGAATGCATTAGTTATTTTTCCTAATGCTCTCCCTCCCCTTACCCAACTGCCCAACAGGCCCCAGTGTGTGTTGTTCCCCTCCTTGTGTCCATGTGTTCTCATTGTTCAGCTCCCACTTACAAGTAAGAGCATGCAGTGTTTGGGTTTCTGTTCCTGCATTAGTTTGCTGAGGATAATGGCTGCTAGCTCCATATGGCTGCATAGTATTCTATGGTGTATATGTGCCACATTTTCTTTATCCAGTCTATCTTTGATGGGTATTTGAGTTGATTCCATGTCTTTGCTATTGTGAATAGTTCTGCAATGAACATATACATGCATGTAGCTTTGTAATAGAATGATTTATATTCCTTTGGGCTTATATCCAGCAATGGGATTGCTGGGTCAAATGCTATTTCTGGTTCTAGATTTTTGAGGAATCCCCACACCCTCCTCCAAATGGTTGAACTAATCTACATTCCCACCAACAGTGTAAAAGCATTCCTATTTCTCCGCAACCTCACCAGCATCTGTTGTTTCTTGACTTTTTAATAATCATTGTTCTGACCAGCATGAGACGGTATCTCATCGTGGTTTTGATTTGCATTTCTCTAATGATCAGTAATGTTGAGCTTTTTTTCATATGTTTGTGGGCCGCATGAATATCTTCCTTTGAGAAGTGTCCCTTCATGTCCTTTTTAATGGGGTTGATTTTTTTCTTGTAAATTTGTTTAAGTTCCTTGTAGATTCTGGATATTAGATCTTTGTCAAATTGCTGGTTTGTAAAAATTTTCTCCCACTCTGTAGGTTGCCTGTTCATAATGATGATAATTTCTTTTGCTGTGCAGAAGCTTTTTAGTTTAATTAGATCCCATTTGTCAATTTTTGCTTTTTTTGCAATTGCTTTTGGCAATTTCATCATGAAGTTTCTGCCTTTGCCTATGTCCTGAATTGTATTGCCTAGATTTTCTTCTGGGGTTTTTATAGTTTTTGGTTTTACATTTAAGTCTTTAATCCATGTTGAGTTAATTTTTGTATAAGGTATAAGGAAGGGATCCAGTTTCAGTTTTCTGCATATGACTAGCCAGTTCTCTAAGCACCATTTATTAAATAGGTAATCCTTTCCCCATTGCTTGTTTGTCTCAGGTTTGTCAAAGATTGGATGGTTGTAGAGGAGTGGTCTTATTCCTAAGTTCTCTGTTCTGTTCCATTGGTCTATGTGTCTGCTTTTGTAACAGTACCATGCTGCTTTGGTTACTGTAGCCTTATAATATGGTTTGAAGTCCAGTAGTATAATACTTCCAGCTTTGATCATTTGGATTGGAATTGTCTTGGCTATACGAGCTCTGTTTTTGGATCCATGTGAATTTTAAAATAGTTTCTTCTAATTCTTCGAAGAATGTCAGTGGTAGTTTATTGGGAATAGCATTGTATCTATAAATTATTTTGGGCATTATGGCCATTAGAAACCCTGTTTTTCATCTAAGGTTAATCATTTGTTTTGGCCAAATCCTGTGAACTAATGCCATGAAGTGTCCATTTATTACTGGTCTGCCCCTATCTCCACCTTGCCTCCTGTCCTCAAGTGACTACTATAAGTTTCTTTGCTTTACAATGTTGGAAGTAATGCCATCTCTATCAACAAAATGCCAAACAATTTCTCTATGCCAGGTATAACTGGGATGGTAGCGGTTGCAGAAAACACTGTTTTAAGAAGGATTTTGAGGTTGAGGGCTTAACGAAAATGGAGGCCATGATCAATTAGCAGTGTGTGCCATAAGAGGGGGAGAGGATGTGACAGCTTATTGAGTTTCCTCTGTCCTATTACAAGCTAGTCATTCTCTTCTTCTATACAAGAATTTAATATAATTTGGATGTACTTTTAAATTCAATTATGCTATTTTATTTATTTATTTATTTATTTATTTTTTGAGATGGAGTCTTGCTCTGTTGCCCAGGCTGGAGTGCGGAGGCATGATGTCGACTCACTGCAAACTCTGCCTCCCAGGGTCAAGTGATTCTCCTGCGTCAGCCTCCTGAGTAGCTGGGATTACAGGTGCATACCACCAGGCCTGGCTAGTTTTTATACTTTTAGTAGAGATGGGGTTTCTCCATGTTGGCCAGGCTGGTCTCAAACTCCTGAGTTCAGGTGACCTGCCCACCTTGGCCTCCCAAAGTGTTGGGATTACAGGCATGAGCCACCATGCCTAGCCTGCTATAATTGCTCTCTAATTGATTTTTGGTATTCTAACATTCTTTCCTACTTTTTATTTCAAACATATCTTGGCTAACTTATGAGTTAAATATGGGGAAATCAAATCACCATTTATAACCATGATTTCTGTAGGAAAATGCATTTGAAGTTTCTACATAATTGACTTTCACAAAGGGATTCTTGAAACTTAATCCATTCATAAACAGAGACCTGCACCCACACCTTTTATAACCAGCCATAGTTCTCTGCATGTATTAACTACTCAATGATCTTTGTTGAAACATTGAATTATATAGAAGTTGGCTGCTCCCTGAAAGTAAGGTGACAGCTCTGTAGTATTTTCGTGCAGATATCTAAAAATCACACAAAACTAGCAGGGTGTGGTGGCATGCACCTGTAATCCCAGCTACTCAGGAGGCTGGGGCGGGAGAATCACTTGAACCTTGGAGGCCGAGTTTGCAGTAAGCCGACATCGTGCCACTGCACTCCAGCCTGGGGAACAGAGCAAGACTTTATCTCAAAAAAAAAATATGTAGCATAAATGAATTTAAAAGTGTACCTAAATTATATTAAATTCTGATATAGAAGAAGATAATGACTAGCTTGTAATGGGACAGAGGAAAATATTTTGGTAAGTAATATTTTAGAAAAGTTTAAAAACTCAGTTTTATTCTTAGATTCCTAGGTCTGGGAAAAACCTCCTTTCATATAATGTGTCAAAAACAACAGAACTAAAATATACAAAGATGGTAAGTAAAATAAGAAGTTGACCAATCACAGAACATTGATAAACTAAAATATTACAGATTTAGACAGAGGTTTTAAAATTTGGGGGAATTAAGAAACCTGACAAGCGGTGAAATCCCGTCTCCACTAAAAATATAAAAAATTAGCCAGGCGTGGTGGTGGGCGCCTGTAGTCCCAGCTCCTCGGGTGGCTGAGGCAGGAGAATGGCGTGAACCTGGGAGGTGGAGCTTTGCAGTGAGCCGAGATAGGGCCACTGCACTCCAACTCCAGCCTGGGCGACAGAGCAAGACTCCGTCTCAAAAAAAAAAAAAAAAAAAAAAAAGAAACCTGACAGGAAAAACCTTTTTGCTTAATCAAGGCACTCATATTTTGTTTTAAACACGTCCTCCTGTTTTTCCCTTAATAGAAAAGGCAAACATCTAGACATCACATCTGTCTGAAAGTCTTCTCCTACATTCCCTTTTAGGCACCCTGATTCCCTCTGCCTCTGCTCTCCTCTAATTAGGGCTCCTTTAGTCACCATGCTCCTGTTTAAGCTTCTTTAACTCCTCTATTGTTTCTGTGAAAGCAATAACTGCTGGTTCCCTCCTTTACCCTCTCTCTGCCATTACAGAAAATTTCAGAAATGGGTGGGAGTTCATAGCCAATTTAGCTAGATAAAAGTTGTTCCTTGGAAACGGATTACTTTTATTGGAGTTGGGGTAAGCAAAAGTATGGCTTGGCTGAAAAGAGGCCACGGAAGAGAGGAACAAAGGATTAGATTGCTTGAAATACAGTGGTGCTGAAGAGGTTCTGCAAGAAGCCATTACTATGTTAGACCTCATTAATTACGAATCTCTTCATTCAATCATTCATTCATTCATTTATAACAATAAATGTTTATTGAGTGTCTATTATATTCCAGGCCACGGTTTCTTCCCTCATATAACTTGCATTCTAGAGCAGGCAGAAAATTAATTTCAGATGGTGTGATAACACATATCTTAGAAAGGTATCTGATTTGTACTTGGAGAAAATATATATATCCTGGAGAATTTACATTTTAGTTGAGATCTGATCTGAAGAGTAGTAGAAGGGGACACCCAAGCAAAGATGGTCAATGCATGTGTGTTTGTATGTGTGTGTGAGTGAGAGAGAGAGAGAGAGAGAGAGAGAGAGAGAGAGAGAGAAAGAGAGAGAGAAAGAAAGGAAGGGCAGTGGACTCCTATTACAAGCCAATAAAACCAGCATGGGAAGAAGACCAGAGGCAAGAGATGAGACATAAATGGCCTTATTAAAGAGTTTCGGCATTATCATAAATGCTGTCTGAATCAATTAAAAGAACAGCGACACAATTGGTGTGTTTGAAAAATAACTCTGGGTGCAATTTGTTAAAAATGAATTTAAGCAGGGCAAAAATGAAGCTGAGAGACTAGTTATGGAGCTGTTACTATGATGCAGGTACAAAGTGAAGAGAACAAGAATAAGGTGATTAAGGTTAAAGCAAAGGATCAATAGAGAAAGGTATGTTGAAGGACCACCTGATAGAACTGGCTTGGATTTTCTGTCTTCCATCTGTAGCATCTCTAATACCTGTCAGTGAAAGCATGAAAAATCATGTTCACTGATGTATTTGAGGAACATGGAAGCTGCCTTGCACTTCAGTACTATTACCTTTAGAAACCCAGAAAAAATATTTGAAATAATTTTATACAAACATTTTGGATAAACAGGGAAAATGGATGGGCATTTATGATGGGTGAGCACCTCGCTATGTTCTACACAGTCAACATGTGCTAAGCTTTTTTCTCTCCACAGTCAGAAGACCAGAGCAGTTAGAAATTATGCGAGTTTGAATCTCAGGTTTACCATTTTCCTACTGGGTGACTTCAGGCAACTCACTTAACCACCATGTACCTTAGTAAAACTGAGGGTGATAACAGTATCTTCCTCATAGTTATATTGTAGAGACTACTAAGTTAATTCATAAAGTGCTTGAAACAGTGCCTGGCACATAGTAAGCACTAACATGAGCTAAGTTTACTATCTTCACAACAATTAAGATAACCAATACTGAAGGTTGAATTAGATAGCCAGTGTCACACATTGAGTAGATAACTAGGCTGAGATTTGAGTTTACATTATCTTCAAAACCCAAGCTATTTCTGCTTCAGCCATGGGCATGAACACTGAGTAGACTTATACCAGCTTCTTTAAGAGATGGCTTTGAGAAAGTAGTTAAAAATGTCATATCTTCAGTTAAGACCATGATGTCCACCCACCGTTTTGTGGCTTGTGGCAAGTTATGTAAACTGCCTGAACCTCAGTATCCTCATCTTCAAGATGAGATAATAATTGTACCTACTTCATAGAGCTGTTAGGAGGTTAAAGGAGATAGCACTCTCTGCTCTAGTTAGCACTGAATAAATGTTGACTATTACTGATCCCTGTTCTACTCTACAGTGATGGGGAAATCAGAGAGACCAACAGAAGGCTGCCTGGGTCACTCAGAACTTAGGTCTGTTTCCACAGGGCACAAGGAGAGTAGTCCTTCATGTTTTCCCAAATCGTGGTTCCTTCTAGGCAAAGATGCCAATGGTTGAGGCCAGTGAGATGGTATGAAAAAGTAACTATACTAATCGATTCAGTGAACAGTAGGTCAACAGAAGCCAGAAACTAACTCTCTCCCTCTCCATAAGAGTTTCCCTACAGTCACTGGGTTAACATCATCTTCATTTTCTTTAATACTACCTAACCTTGTGACTTTTTATCTTTACATACATAGATTTTCCCTCTAACCCAACTGCCCATTGAATAGCTCATAGTTTTACCTAAATTTTGGCCCTTGAAATATATTCAACACTGCTAAACTAAATTTTACTAAAAAGTTATAAAAAGCTGATCTTTTTCACCTTCCTCAGTGTGATTTTTTTAGGTGGAGGGGAGTAGAAAATTTGAATTGGTCACAATTGAGGTCCGGTACCAAGTTCTATAAGGAATAGCATGGCCCATTTTCCTCCCTGAAATTATGAACACCACTGCATGCACTTTCTGACATGGAACTCCTGTGAATTTCATTAGGACCTCATTCTACCTACAAATAATGTTTTCAGTGTTATGTCTTCCCTGTAAAAATAAACATTTTCAAAGCATTTCAAAACTGGTCTAAGGAAGAGAAAAATCATTTCAAAAATCTTCAAAAGCATACCAGACATTTCTCCATATTTTTTAAAGGGATTTGATGGATATCTATCCATTTTGATGAGGTAAGTCTTTCCCTTCATTAAGATTTCATGTCAAAAGAATGTTTACCAAAGAAATATTTAGTTGAGGGCATGACTGTATTTATGAGAGTACCTTGTTCAGAATGGGTGTTCAGTAAATATTTGTGGGTGATTATAATCACAATTAATGATAACCATGACCTTTTTGTTGCTCCCCTTCAGGATTATTCTTCAAAAACACCCATTAAGCCACATGACAACTTAAAGGCCTACTAAAACCAGCTGACATAAGAAATAGTTCTTATTCATTTTAACAAAACCATAGATTAGGGGGCAGAGAAAGATGATGGAGTGGAACTCTCCAGTGATCATACTTGCCCCAGGAGAAGCATTGATTTGCACATATATCCATGCATGAAAATATGTTCACAAAAGCTAAGGAACCCAGGTAAGAGGTCACGGTATGTAGTTGCAGCACAATAATAAGAAAAGACACATTGATGATGATAGAAAGGCAATTTTGCATTACTCACATCATCCCTCCCCCAACCTCAGGTTGCACAGCTAAGCATGGAGAGAAATGCCATCTACTTGGAGAAAAGAGAGGAAAGTGAGCACAGGACTTTGCCTTGGACCCCAACACTGGGTCTGCCACAGTAAAACCCAGCTGGACAGAAACCCCCAGACCTGTATTTCAGGCTGGTACTCACAGACTGAGCCTCTAGAACACTCTGGCACCAGATGAGACCACGAAGCTCCAAGTTTCACACTTGCTTGGTGAACCCAGTCTCCAGCTTGCACCACCATGGGACTTACTTCAACAGCTCTGGGCTCTGGACATCCCTCAGCAGCAGGCAGTCCTGGCCGCAGTGGCCTCTGGCTTCTAGTATGCCCTAATTCCATGCCAGGTACCTCTGACCGATGTTTCTAGCTTGTTCCAGTACTGGGTGGGCTGTAGTGGTCCCAAGGATTCTGGAAGCACCATCTGCCAAGGGCTTCTGCCACCCCAGCACCATGCCTACGACAGAGAGCCACAGGCTTTTTGAATGAAGCACCATGCTAGCCACATCTGTCCTGGCCTTCTGAACTACCCCAGGACTGCAACTGCTGTGGCACACCTGAGACTATGAGGAGCACCGTGCCACCCACAGCTGCCCCAGCTTCTGATACACCTCAGTGCTGTACCTGCCACAGGGCTTTTCCTAACAAAGCCAGTCTTCAAAGACTGGAATAAATACCTAATTCCTCAAATATGCAGACACAAGGATCAAGAACTATTGGGGAAATATCATATCACTAAACAAACATAATTGCTTGAAAAAGATTCAAAATAGTTCTTTTAAGAAGGCTCAGCAAACTCCAAGAAAATATAAAGAAACAATTCACCAAATGAAGAAATCAATGTGACCAGAATGATAAATTTAATACAGGATTTGAAAAAAGTCAAACAGAAATCTTGGAAGAAAACAATACAAAATGAAAAAATGCAATAGAGGTCATTGACAGTAGAAAAGATCATGCAGAAGAAACAATCTGTGAAACTGAAAACATACAGTCAGAAATACATGGAAATATACAGTCAGATGAGAAAAAATACGAAAAGTAAAGAAATTCTTGTAATATTTCTAGCTTACAAGATGTATGGAACAGCATCAAAAGAGAGAACGTGGCCGGGTGTGGTGGCTCACGCCTGTAATCCCAGCACTTTGGGAGGTCAAGGCAGGTGAATCACCTGAGGTCAGGAGATCAAGACCAGCCTGGCCAACATGGTGAAACCCCATCTCTACTAAAAATACAAAAATTAGCCAGGCATGGTTGCGCATGCCTGCAATCCCAGCTACTCGGGAGGCTGAGGCAGGAGAATCACTTGAACTCAGGAGGTGGAGGTTGCAGTGAGCTGAGATTGCAACACTGCACTCCAGCCTGAGCAACAGAGTGAGACTCCATCTCAAAAAAAAAAAATAAATAAAAAATAAATAAATAAATAAATAAATAAATAAATAAATAAATAAAAGAGCAAATGTACAAGTCATGGGAGTTAAATAAGGAAAAGAGAAAGATAAAGGGGTTAGAACATTTATTTTAAAAAAACAGTTGCAGAAAACTTTCTCAATCTGGAGAATGATGTAAGTATCTAAGTACAAGGCCAAAAGTCTCCAATCATATCTAATCCAAAAAAAAAAAAAAAGATTTCCCTAAGACATAGTACAATCAAACTCAAAAATCAAAGCCAAAGAGAAGAGCCTGAAAGCAGCAAGAGAAATGAAGCAAATAACTTATAAAAAATTATAATACAGCTAGCAGAAGACTTCGCAGCAAAAATCTTACAGGCCAGGAGAGAGTGGGATGGCATACTTAAATTGTTAAAACTAACAAACAAACAAACAAAAAAACAAAAAACAAGGAACCCAGCTAAGAATACTGTAGCCAGCAAAGCTGTCCTTCAGAAATGAAGGAGAATTAAAGACATTTTCAGAAAAACAAAAGTTGAGGGGGTTCATTACCACCTACTTCATTACAAAAAGTGCTAGACAGAATTCTTTAAGCTGAAAGCACAAAAGCTAGTGAGTATCACAAAAACTCTGAAAGTATAAAACCCGCTGGTAAAAATAAGTACACAGTTAAATTCACAATACTCTAATACTGTAATGGTATTTGTAAATTACTTATGTCTTTTGTATGACAAAACAGACACATAGACCAATGGAACAGAAGAGACAGGGCAGAAATAAATCTCCACATTTACAGCCAACTGATTTATGACAAAGGCACCAAGAGTATATAAGGGCAAAGGGGCGTTCTCTTCAATAAATGGTGCAGGGGAAACTGAATATCCACATGTAGAAGAATGAAATTAGACCCTTATCTCACATCATATACAAAAATAAACTAAAAATGATTTAAATACTTAAATGTAAAGCCAAAAACTATAAAACTATTAGAAGAAAACCTAGGGAAAAGGTTCCATGACATTGGCCTGGGCAATGAATTTTTGGATATGACACCAAAGGCAATGGCAACAAAATCAAAAATAGACAAATTACATCAAAATAAAAAGCATCTACATAGCAAAGAAATAATCAACAGTGTGAAGAGGCAATCTACAGAATGGGAGAAAATATTTGCAAACTATGCCTAAAATATGTAAGAAACTAAGACAATTTAATAGCAAGAGTACAAGTAACTCCATTAAAAATGGGCAACGCCTGTTCCCCAAAAACCTTCTGAAATAAAAAACAAATAAAAAAATAAAATGTACCTAATATCTCCCCAAAATAGGCAAAGATCCTGAATAGACATTTCTCAAAATAAGACAAACAAATGGCCAACAGGTATATTAAAAAATGCTCAACATCACTAATCATCAGAGAAATGCAAATTAAAATTCCAGTGTGGTATCACTTCACACTTGTTAGAATGGCTATGATCAAAAAGACAAAAGATAACAAGTATCACCGAAGATGTGGAGAAAAGGAAATCCTGGTGTACTTTGGTGTGAATGTAAATTAATACAGCCATTATGAAAAACAGTATAAAGTTTCTTCAAAAAGTTAAAAATAGAAGTACCATATAATCCATCAATGCCAATGTATATACACTTATATACCAATATACACCAACACTAGGTATATATCCAAAGGAAATAAAATTAGTATATTGAAGAGATATTTGCACTTCCGTGTTCATTGCAGCACTATTCACAATAGCCAAGCTATGGAATCAACCGAAGTGTCCATCAGTGGATGAATGGATACAGAAAATGTCACAAACATGTACAATGGAATACTATTCAACCTTCTAAAAAGAAGGAAATCTTGTCACTTGAGACAACATGGATGAACCTACAAGACATCACGTTAAGTGAAATAAGCCAGGCACAGAAAGAAATTTATTGCATGATCTCACTTATATGTAGAATCTAAAAAACTTATCTCACAAAAGTAAAAAGTAGAATGGTGGCTACCAGGGGCTGGAGTGGGGAGGGATTTTGGAAGCGGTTGAGAAGATATTGGTCGAAGGATACAAAATTTCAGTAATGTAGGAGGAATAAGGTCAAGAAATCTATTGTATAACCTCATGACTATGGTTAATAATATTCCCGTGTTCTTGAAAAATGCTAATAGATATAAAGTGTTCTCACCACAAAAATGGTAACTACCTGTGGTAATGCATATGGTAATTAGCTAGACTTAGTCATTCCACAATGTATATATACTTCAAACTATCATTTTTTGCATGGTAAATACAGTCATGTGCCACATAATGATATTTCGGTCAGTGATGAATCATATATATGATGGTGATCTCAATTAGATTGTAATACTGTGTTTCTACTGTGTCTTTCTATGTTTAGACATATTTATATACTCAGATACTTATCATTGTGTTAAAATGGCCTAAAATATTCAGTAGAGTAACACACTGTACAGGTTTGTAGCCTCAAAGCAATAGGCTGTATTGCATACCTTAGGTGTGTAGTAGGTTATAGCATCCAGGCTTTTGTAAATATACTCTATGATGTCTGCACAATAAAATTACCTAACAATGCATTTCTTTGAACATATCTCTGACCTTAAGTGACACATGTCTGTACGTGCAATTTTATCTGTTAATTCTTTAATTTTTTAAAAACATTTTTAAAAAAGAAAAGAGAAACACATTTTTTGCTATCTTGTTTTAGTTTACTTTTTTTTTTTTTTTTGAGATTGAGTCTCACTCTGTAGCCCAGACTGGAGTACAGTGGTGCGATCCTGGCTCACTGAGACCTCTGCCTCCCGAGTTCAAGCAATCCTCCTATCTCAGGCTCCCGAGTAGCTGGGATTACAACTGCACACCACCAGGACTGGCTAACTTTTTCGTATTTTCAGTAGAGACAGGGTTTCTTCATGTTGGCCAGGCTGCTCATGAACTCCTGATCTCAAATGATCCACCCACCTCGACCTCCCAAAGTGCTGGGATTACAGGCGTGAGCCACCATGCCCAGCCTTATTTTACTTTTCTTTAACCTGACAATTAACCACTGATGTTACTTTTTGGGAGCTAGGTTATATATTTTTTAGGTTCTTGATTAAATGGTAAATATTCCAGAAGACACATATGCAGTATACATGCTGACTTGATTAATTTTTTGTAACACCTCAGGGTAGAGATACTATTTTCATGATCAACACAATAAATAAGAGACAAATACCTTTGTTTGCAAGAAAACAGTTTCCCAAGCATAATGTGATTACATAAGTTTTACTATTTCTTAGCTTCTATGCACTAATTCTAACCTAATGAAAAAAGTCAAGATTTTTATTCTATGTTGAAGAAGATATTTAAGTTACTGTATTCAGCACTTAAATAATCTGTGTCCCAAAGGGAAAACACTGGGAAAGCTATTCTTTAAAATCACATGACAGTCAGTGAGCTGAGGCTTGTATTTATGATAAAGAAATCGTTATGTTGAAAGTAACTTTGTTTTTACTCTAGCCAATCTCTTCTTGCCCATACATCAAGAAAGAAAATTAGCTATTTTTTAAAGGCAAAGCTAGCAAACTTAAAATGCATCTTGTATATTCTCTGGAGTAATTACTTGGGTATTTTATCCATTAATTTGATAATTTGCAGGATATTAATGAAAAAAGAATTTACTACAGAATTGATGTCATTATGTCCCAGAAACTTATTTACTCCTATCATCATAATTTTCAGAAATATGTGTCTGGAGCAATTTAAATAGCCATAGGAATGCCAGACCTTATATCCAGACCCATGCTGATAAACCTATAACTCCGTTATCTCAAAAGTGCTGTCACTTGAAAAATTTGCAAGTTGACTTGAAAACTGAAATGAGGTCAGTAGTTGCATTTAAACTTCTTCCAGTCTTCCTAACTAATTTAAAGTATGAATAGTAAATTAAATTGGGAACTTGCAAACTATTACATTTCAGATAGGTATCTAAGTTCTTTAATAGAAACACATAATCATAAGTCTATTCAACTGCTTCAGGTCTAGTGTTATTAGGCAATCCAAAGGACTTAGGTTAATGCTACAAACACCTAGTGCAAAAGTGGGAAACTCTTGACATGTGACACAAGATGAGACAGATGAGCAGCTTTCTAAGGTTGCTTGGCACCTCATCAAAGTCAGTACTCAGAAAACAGTATCCTCTCCCTCTCTTTTCTAAAACCAAAAAGGAGACCCCTTTCTCCTTGGCTCAGGCTGGTGCATGTCTCCCAGCAGGTTTCAGCACAGATGGAATGCAGTAGAATGGTTGGAGCTGAGACTGGGCCCCTGAGGAGGTTGCTGTCAGGCCAACACTGGGGGACCAGGTCTTGTTGGCTCAGAGAGGCTTGCGTCTCCCAGCAAGTCCCTGCACAGTCAGGAAAGAAACTATAAAACTACTAGAAGAAAATATTGGAGAAACGTTATAGGACATTGGCCTGGGTCAAGATTTTTTGGGTAAGACCTACAAAGCACAAGCAACAAAAGCAAATATAGGAAAATGGAATTACAATGGGCTAAAAAGCTTCTGCATAGCAAATGAAACAACAAAGCGAAGAGAAAACCTACAGTATCGAAGAATATATTTGTAAACTATCCATCTGACAAGGGATACACTGAAAAACTTGAAGAGCCAGGCACGGTGGCTAACGCCTGTAATCCCAACACTTTGGGAGAATGAGGCAGGCGTTTCACTTGAGGTCAGGAGTTCGAGACCAGCCTGGCCAACATGGTGAAACTGCGTCTCTACTAAAAATACAAAGATTGCTTGAACCCAGGAGGCAGAGGTTGCAGTGAGCTGAGATCACACCATTGTACTCCAGCCTGGGTGACAGAGCGAGACTCTGTCTCAAAACAAAACAAAACAAACTCAAACAATTCAATCACTTCAAAAAAATCATTATCATCAAATTTAAAAGTGGGTAAAAGACCTGAATAGATATTTCTGGAAAAAAGAGCTACAAATGGCAAACAGGTGTATTTCAAAAAATGCTCAAAATCACTAATTATTAGGGAAATGCAAATTAAAACCACAAACAGATATCATCTCACCCTAGTTCGAATGGCTATAAAAAGAGAAAGGATAACAAGTACTGGAGAGGATGTAAAGAAAGGGGTTCTCTTTTATGCTGTTGGTGGGAGTGTAAATTAGTACAGCTATTACAGAAAACATTATGGCGATTCCTCAAAAGCCTAAAAAGAGAACTACTACATGATCTGGCTATCTCACTGCTGAAAGGAAATCAGTACATGAACGTGATATCTGCACTCCCATGTTTACTGCAGCATTATTCACAATAGTCAAGATATGGAAGCAACATAAGTGTCTATCAGTGGACACATGCATAAAGAAAATGTTAGATATATACACAATGGAATCTTTTTTTTTGAGACGGAGTCTCGCTCAGTCGCCCAGGCTGGAGTGCAGTGGCGCGATCTCGGCTCACTGCAAGCTCCGCCTCCCAGGTTCACGCCATTGTCCTGCCTCAGCCTCCCGAGTAGCTGGGATTACAGGCGCCCGCCACCACGCCCGGCTATTTTTTTTTTTTTTTTTTTTTGTATTTTTAGTAGAGACGGGGTTTCATCGTGTTAGACAGGATGGTCTTGATCTCCTGACCTGATAATCTGCCTGCCTCGGCCTGGCGTGAGCCACCGCGCCCGGCCCACAATGGAACCTTAATGGGCTATAACAAAGGATAAAATCTTGTCGTTTGCAGCAATGTAGATGGAACTGGAGGTCACTGTGTTAAGTGAAATAAGCACAGCACAGAAAGACAAACATCACATGTTTCCTTTCACACGTGGGAGCTAAAAAGGTGGATCTCATGTTGGTTGAAAGTAGAATGGTGGTTACTAGAGGCCTGGAAGGAAAGGAAGGATGGGGAATGAAGAACAGTTGGTTAATGGGTACAAAAATAAAGAGAGAGAAGCTATCAGTTCTAGTGTTCAATAGTATAGTATTTTATAGTTATACAGTTAATAATAATTTGTTGTATATTTCAAAATAGCTAGAAGAATTGTAATATTCCCAACACAAAGAAAAAATAAATGTTTGAGGAGATGGATATCCCAATTACTCTGATGTAATCATTCCACATTGTAGACATGTATCAAAGTATCACATGCATCCCAAAGATATGTACTACTATGGCATATAAATTATTTTATTTTATTTTTAGAGACAGGGACTTGCTTTGTCACCCAGACTGGAGTTCAGCGATGTGCTTATAACTCACTGTAGCCTCAAACTCCTGGGCTCAAGCAATCTTCTGCATCAGCCTCCTGAGTAGCTGGGACTACAGGCACGTGCCACCATGCCCAGCTAACTAAAACAATTTTCTTTGTAAAGACAAGGTCTCTAGACCCATCTTAGCTTCAAGTGACCCTCCTGCCTTGGCTTCCCAAAGTGCTGGGATTACAGGTGGAAGCCACTGTGTCCAGCCTGACATATCAATTTAGAAAAAAGAAAAAGAGCATCCTTCTCCAGGTATTGTGAACTTCTTGTAGAATGCAGAAATATATAAGATTTTAATTCTTATTATTATAACAACCAACCTAATACTCATGAAGGTCTTACTATGTGTATGACACAGTGCTAACTGCATTAATCTATTGCAGTTATTACTTCCATTTTGCAGATGGGAAAAATGAGGTTTAGGGGAGTTAAATAACTTGTTCTTGATTACTCAGCTGGAAATTATTAGAGTCTGAATATAGGTCATCTAATTCTGGAGCTTACACTTTTATCCAATATTGAACTATTTAATAACTAAATAAGTCTAGTGCTATTTGAAACAAAAACAACTTCTTGCCTTGATTTTTGTAATCTAGGCTAATTTTTCCACGATGAAGAGATAAAAAGGTAATTATTTCATATAATTTTTGAGGAAACAAATTACTGTGCTATGCATAAATATATCATATCGTAGCAATATTTTATTCGCTAATAGTATGCTCACAAAAACTTTTTCAGGTTTGAGTTCCACCTCTGTCAATTAGTGTCTTTGTGAAAATGGAAGTGGCTTATTTTTCTTCATTTTGTTGTTAACATCACTGAGCATCTATTTTTCCATATGTAAATGAATCTAACAAATGAATATAATGACAATATAAATGTCTACTATTTAGTTTCCATAGGGATTAAATGAGATAATGTAGATAAAGTACTTAGGTCAGTGCCCAGCATATTGTAACTGCTCAATAAATGCTTTCAAATAATTTAAAAATTGAACATTAAAATAACAGTAATAATATTCTGTAGTTAGGAAGATTATAAAGAAAAGTCAACCTTAGTGTGCATGAGCTTTTGAGGGTAGAAAGGTATCCTTTAAGAAAATTACATTTAATGTGGTTGACAATGCAAGCTAGTAGTGCTGTATCTAATTTGATTGACCTTAGTTTTTAAAAGAGCTCATCTAAATAAGGGTCTTTCTGTAAAACCTCAGGAGATCCAATTTTTAAAATACTATATTCTATTAAATCAGATGATGGATATCTAAGACAGCACACTTCTTGGCACATAGGCCTCAGAAAATGCTAGAACGTATGCTAGTGAAAGTGTAGTTATTGATTCTATTGCTATTACTATTATCTCGTTCTGTCTGTATCTGTATTTTCTCTGCTTCTCTGAGGCACTAAAACGAGAGCCTCACAATTGCCCAGGGAAGCAAGTCCTTGGACTTGGAAAGGCTGCAGAATCAATTTCAGGGTCAGACAGTTTTGTTTGATTTTTACAATCTAGAGACGGGTCTCATGTCAAACTGCAGAAAGAAACACATTCCAGATTTACACAAGGGTTAGAGAAAGACTGACTGATTGCATTTGCTCAAGTTGACTCTCAGGATGAGAGATGCACTTTTTTATATTTTTTTAAACATTGATGCCAAACCTTCTTTTAGTAACGTAGAAAAGCACAGCTGTCACTGGCCTCAGGACTGACAAGCAAAATGCAGAGATTCCCTTTTTCCAGCTGAGATCATCTCCAGATAAGAATTACTCAACTGGGAATGGGAAGGTGGAAATTGCACAATCCTGAACTGTCGAATATGGTGGCTTCACATAGCAATTGAGAACTTGAAAGGAGGTTAATCTAATTGAGACGTGCTATAAATGCAAAATATACACTGGATGACAAAGACTGTGTGAGAAACAGAATTTAATGTGATGCAAGATTTCCTAAGACTTACCATCTGTGGTTTACTAGCATTTATTTTTTTAATTTTTAATTTTTGAGGGTACATAATAAGTGTATATATCTATGGGTCACATGAGATATTTTGATCCAGGCATGCAATGCATAATAATCACATCAGGGTAAGTAGGGTGTCCATCACCTCAAGCGTTTATCTTTTGTGTTTCAAGCAATCCAAATATACTCTTTTAGTCATTTTAAAATGAACAATTACATTAATTTTTACTATAGTCACCCTGTTGTGCTAGCAAATACTAGGTCTTATTTATTCTTTCTAACTATTTTTCGTACCCATTAACCATCCCCCCGCTACTACCCTTCCCAGCCTCTGGTAACCATTCTTCTACTCTCTATCTCCATGAGTTCAACTGCTTTTAATTTTTAGTTCTCACAGATAAGTGAGAACATGTGATGTTTGTCTTTCCGTGCCTGGCTTATTTCACTTAACATAGGCTAGCATTTATACTGCATATTTTTAACTATAATATAATTAGGTTCTGCAGAGTCTAAAATGGGAAGTCATTTCATCTACTTTATAGATGAGAATAAGTATGGTTAATAGTTATTGTTTGCTTCTTATGTGCCATGTACTGTGCAAAGCATGTTTCATTCCTAATTTCATTTAATCTTGCTCTATTAAAAAGTTAGACGCTTAACTCCATTTTATAGATGAGCTAACTGAGTCTTGGAGGATTTAAGTAACGTGCTTAAGATTACACAGCTGAAGCCTAGTTATGTAAAGAGGTCAGTTTGGCTTCAAAGACCACACTAATACTAACTTATTTCTATGGTCTCCCATTGAATCATTTGTGGAAAAGCACTGAATTGCACCATATACACACAAAAAAAATTTAAACAAAATTTTTTTTTAATTCCTCTAAATCTCTGTGTGGTACAAGGATATCTCCTTGCAGATAAATAGTTCTTCTGAAGTATCTGACCTTATCTGCTTCCTAGAAAATGCAGTCAAGTTACAAATAAGGTGCAGTGTTTTCTTCTGTTACTGAATAAAACAATTTGGGTCAAATTGTACCTGAAGGTACTTAGAATCCAATTATACTTGATTCCTTGTTAAATCACTTATGCTAGTAACTGAACTTGTTAAAAGAGTAATTCCCAAGTATTTAAGGATAGAATGTTGAGTTATAAAATACATTTTGCCTTTTATTGTATGTCTTTATTTTTCACACGCACATTGCATTTATTTGAGAGACAGAGCAAGAAAGGACAGAAATGTTGGTGAGAGAAGAGGCCAGAGGCCCAGCCAATGCCCACCTCTTATTTGTTACTGTCTGTCAGGTGTTTCCAGCTCATCTTTTCTGATTTGTGATTATTATGTTTTGGTGGTTCTGGATTTGCCTGCATGTGCTGCCATAGAGGTACTCATATGTCTCAGAACAGACACATTCAGACACACAGGACACATCAAGCTGGAACTGGCCAGCAATTGGGGTAACCCAGGGGCTGTTCTCCACTTTGCATACCTTCTTCTGACCAGTTAAATATAAGTTTCCTAGTTCTGGGAGCAGAAGGGTCAGGCAGTTGCCCTGAATGTTGAGTTCCTTAAGCTGGGTAAACTCCCCAGTTTCCCTAGGCTGCAAGATCAGGTTGTTATCCCTAAAGCTGGGTATCTGCAACTTTGTGAGCTTCCTAATATCTGGTTGCAGGATTTTAAAATCATTGTCACTTACATAAGAGTGCACGGAAGGTAGTAAGGTAGATGAAGTTTCCAGGAAGAGAATTCTCATTCAAATTGTACATCAAGTCCAGAAGGTCAAGAGCTGGGTAGAAAGCAAAATCCTTCAGGCAAAGTATTTAGCCCATTCATGCCCAGGTTCATGTGTTTGAGTTTCTGAAGGCTGCCGATCTGTGTGGGCAGCTCCTCAATCTGGCTATTAAGGAAGTTGAGCACTTCCAAATTCTTCAGTTCTGCTGTGTTTGGTGGCACCACTGTGAGCTTGTTATGGCTGAGGACCAGTTGTATGGTATGGGATAAGGAAAATGTGCCATTGACATACAGCATGTTGTAGATGACCTAGTCACCCTGTCCACTTCCTGGCTCTCCACAAACTTTTTCAGAGTCTTGGACATGGTCGTGAAGAGCAGCACCTAACAGCGTGGGCATGGAATGACAGATTGCGGCAGGATGCACTTTTATTGTACTTCTCAAGCTGTTTACATGTATTTGCTAGAAGAGCAACCTTTCTTTTTGAACTTGGCCAAATGTATAAAGCCATGGTTATTTGAATACTTATTTTATGATAGCATAGTGATAAGGGAGATGGTCAACACATTTTGGTAGAAAGATGCCTGGGAGATAAATCCCTGACTGAAACTTGAACTGTATCCTCATCTGTATGGTACTTCTAAAAGACAGATATTGTCTAATAACTGAGAGTAAAGAATCTCCTTGCTGTTCACCAGTTTTATGTGCCTGAAGTAGTGACAATAAATTGACAGTAGTCCACAGAGCAGAAAGGAAGGGAAAACAGCAAACAAAGGTCACTACAAACCCAACAATAGCACAAAGCAGGCCAAAAATTGTTAACTAGGTCAAAGAATTATGTTCTTGGTTCCTTTCTTCTAGGGATCTATAAAATAGTTCAAATATGTTGTTTCACTTATCTGTACACTCTTTCCCTGGAGGAATAGAGCTTGGTAGAGCTTCCCATTCAGCAAGAGATAAAATGGAAGCAGAAAAGAGAGCACTGACTTGGCCCAAGTCCGTTAACTAGTTTGTAATAGCTGCTCAAAGCACTCAAAATCTCCTTCAAGGGAGTAAGTGGAGAACCCAGTGAATGCTGAGCTATCTAGGAAGCTTTCAAAGAAGAGAATTCAGAATTCACAGGAATGTGTAAGAAACCAATTTGAGACTGTATATTTTAACAAAATTGTCACAAATTTTCATGGTATATGCTTATAAAAAGAAATGGCAAGGATAATGCTATAGTTAGCCAGCAGTTATGCATGAAGTGTTATTACAGAAATTATTTAACTGTCATGGGAAATGTCCCGACTTAAGACAAAATGAAAGCAAATCAGCAATGTAGGACTTCTGTCAACAAAATGAAGGGAAGAAATTTAAGCTCAGATTCTAAGCAATTTATCAAGATAGCCTCTAATTTAAAATATGTCAAACTGAGCACAGAGAAGAACTTTCACAAAATACTCAAGAATTTCAGCTTATTTAAACATAATATACTCTAGCTTTCCTCCTCTGTTAAAGATTTTTATGAAAAAAATTCTTTCAATGAAAGTAATCTTTAAATCCCCCTGATCTGGTGTCTTGATTTCTTGTCCTTGGAATTTCCCTCTGCTTTCCCTACTCTGCATTCAGATGCCTGACAGTGTTGACTCCTTACCCGACTCCACCCCTTTATGTGATCCTCTTCAGTATTTCCACAGCACTGAAAGTCTTTACCATATACTTATACTTATTTATTCTTACATAATCTTAAAAACCTATCTATATTGAAAAATGTGTCATATAATGATACTAGTCAATACCATTTGAGTCCTTGTCAACAATTTGACACCATGCTGAATGTTTTACATGTACCATTTTATTTAATCTTCATGATAACCCATTGAAGTAGGCACATTTATCATCCTCATTTTACATCCCTAGAAAAGTAAAAGCTTACCAAATCCTTATGACATTTTATCTTTAGAAAGTGAGACTGGAAGAGGACCTTGACTGCCAGGCTAAGAAACATAAATTTCCATATTTTCACACATCAAGCAGATATCTACTGAATGCCTACCATGCCACAGTCTCTGAACAAAAGGCTGAGGACACATAAGTAAGTAGAGTGTAATTTCTGTCTCCAAAGAGTTCCCAGTCTAGTGGATAATTTGGCCAGGGAAACATAAAATTGCAATTATTGGATCAAATAAGCTACAATATAAAGTGTGTAGGAGGTACCACAGCACAGAGGATGAAAGGATTAACTCAGAGAAGGCTTTGCAGAAGATGTTTGGGCTGGCTTGTGGAATGGTTAGGAAAGAAGAAAAAGAATGGCAGGTACAAATGCCCATTACAGGAAAGACTGTGGTTAGAGAGGCTAAATCAGCTATGCTAGAGGAACAGATGGGACAGGTTTTGGAGACCCTGGCATAACCTGGCTAAATAATCCAGACTTTATTCTATAGGAAATAGAAGGCACTGATGGATTGTTAAGTAACAGGGAACTGCTGTTGAGAGCATGGTGACAGGAGTTGCAATGTTCAGAATAAACCCCAGGTTATCCTTGACTTTCTCTATGAGTTTCCCATTATTCATCTTCCTTGTCCTTGAAGTCTGGCCTGTCCTGGCCTCCCTATTACTCTGGGCTCTTTACACTTTTATTCTTTATGTTAGTTGCTTCTTTCCCTTTCAACTACTTTGAGATGTCACCAGTTTATTCTGTTTAGGATTCATTATGTGTATTTAATGTCATTTACACATAAGGAGAGCCAAGGGTGTTTGTGTGCGTGTTAGGAAGAATACAATGAACTAAGATGAATAAGACATAGCTCCTGTTATTTCAGTAAAATTGGGGGTTACTAATTTTAATCTTAAAATCAAATATTTGTGACTACTTTATATTTTTCTCACTTGAATACTAAATTAGTTTTGCCCACATGTGACTCTTGATTGACTTGTAAAATATCTATAGTATGTAGGTTGTAAGAGGGGAAAACACTCATAAAAACTAAACACGTAAACCATGTATATAAAAAATTCAGCAATAGTTGGGTGTATAGTTGGTGCTTAGAAAAAGTATAAATTGAATCTGAATCTAAAGTGCAGTTGGCTAGCAGAATTTCAGTCCCTGTGATACCTGCAGGACAGGTGTGAAGGGGAAAAAATAAAAGACCTTTCATACCCATTAAATTACATCTTGTAGGCAGATACCTACCAACTTACCTGACCATGGAGATCACCAGCTACTTGCAACTGGCCTGCAGATTGTGTGTGGGAAGATTTCTTGGCTATCATAAAAAGTCAAGAGTTCATTTTATGCACCCAGCTCAAAAAAAGTTTAACTATCCACTCATTTTTGTACAATATCTCAAGCCTCATTCAGAATAAAAAAGCCATGTCATGAGTTGGTGACTGCTGCTTGAAGTTTTCTGTAATAGGCCTTGAAAAGAAACTTTGAAATGTGGTAATATTTGAAACTAGAGTGTCCTAATTTTTAAGGCGTCCGTAATAATACCATTATCGCAATTCATTTTTGTCTTTTTATTTATTTATTTATTTATTTATTTTTTGAGACGGAGTCTTGCTCTTGTCGCCCAGGCTGGAATGCAATGGCATGATCTTAGCTCACTGCAACCTCCATCTCCCGGGTTCAAGCAACTCTCCTGCCTCAGCCTCCTGAGTAGCTGGGATTACAGGTGCCCGCCATCAGGCCTGGCTAATTTTTGTATTTTTAGTAGAGATGGTGTTTTACCATGTTGGCCAGGCTGGTCTTGAACTCCTGACCTAGTGATCTGCCTGCCTCTGCCTCCCAAAGTGCTGGAATTACAGGCGTGAGCCACTGCGCCCCGTCCCAACTTTGTCTTAAGAACAAAATATTCCTTACATGATTTAAGAACTCTTCATTCTATAAAGTAATAAAGCCACACATTCTTCAGTTTAATAATATAAATACAGTTTTCATTTGATTTATCATAATTATTTCTTTACTTTTTTCGTTCAACAATCAAAGTAGTATCTCATATATTAGCTCTGAGAGTCTCCATACAAACTTTACCCAAGGGGACATTTGAATAAAATTCTTAAAGAGAATCTCTCTTAGATTTTCTTGTGCCCATTCAAAATGAGATAAAATCAAAAGTTTGTTGAAAACAGAATGGTTATTTCTACTCCATCCTTCTGTTAGTCAGATTGTAATGGCTCTGGGAATGTTACTGGTTAGTATTTTCATTGATCCTGTTGTGATTAACCTCATCTATCCCTGACCTGGAGGAGAAACCCAATTATAGGAGATTTTGAAAGAACAAATATCAAATTAAATGTGATATAAACAGGCTACAAAACTCTGAGGATACAGATTAGATGCAGACAAATGAGTTATCCAAACAGGACCTACTCATCTCTACACATAATTTTATCACTTCTCCCTCTTGACTGAAATGCTCACTATATAATTGTGGAGCTTTCTCTCAAATCCCCGTGCATAACTATTCTGATATTTAATTCTTTCTAATATCACATATTTATGCAAAACCTCTAGGACAGTAGAAATATTGAAATTGGCCCACAACTGAATTATCTTTTCCATTTATTGGCTATGTGGTCTCAGGAAAGTTACTTAGATAATCCACGCTGTATTTTCCTACAGGATTGCTTATAAGGATTAAACCGGATAGTCAGTGCCTCGGCCAAATTCAAAATACACTAAGAACTCAATAAATGGCCCCTCTTACCAATAAAATTCCAGATTAGTATTCAAGATGTCCTACCTTCCCATAAAAATACTGTGATCACATATTCTCTTTCTTAAAGTTTCTTTATTATTTATAACTTTTACACTAAACTTGTTCAAAGCTGGATTTATTTTATTAGAACAACAAATGTCACCTGTTATATTTGCTTATTTGCACCCGTATATTCAGCATAACCAAAAACCTCTCACATGAGCAATTACAAAACTCATTACACTTCTAAAGTCAAGGCCATTAAATTTTTCAATACATTACAATTGTGACTTGCTGGAAGATCAGTGATGACTGTTTCTTTTTTTGTCTCATGTTATGAAATCTCAAGAAATCAATCAGTTTTTTTGATTACAAAAAGTTCCTTTATTTGGACACAATATTGAAATAACTTGTCAGAATGTTAAGAGCTCAATACTCATTTCTCCTAATTGCTTTGAATAGTAGTACACAGAATCTCATTACAAACTTTGTTCTCTACTGTAATGTAGTTTGAAAATCATATCCCAGCCAAGTTAATATTTGCTTGTTCAACTTTTACACTAATTACAGTTGTTTTGGAAAAATGGCATGAGTAGAAACCAACTCAAGGGCATAGATGTGAGACCAATGGAGACATACAGTTAGAATTGCAGAACTTGATGAGGGCCTGCTAGCTCTCTCATGTTGTAAACTTA
Source organism: Homo sapiens (assembly GCF_000001405.40). Classification (NCBI taxonomy): domain Eukaryota; kingdom Metazoa; phylum Chordata; class Mammalia; order Primates; family Hominidae; genus Homo; species Homo sapiens. The sequence continues at coordinate 51,314,835 of NC_000010.11, read as the reverse complement.
AATGGCCTTTTCCGAGACAGTGTAACAATGCATATGAAAATTTCACAGAGTCCACAGATTCAGTCCTCATAAGAAAAGCCAATGGGCAGCTCAGAAACAGAATCTCATCTTTCATTTCTATCACTTGTTTTTCTTGGATGAATGTTTACTTCCTGTATGATGAATGTTCATAATTCTTCTTAGTTGTCAGTAGTTATCCAAGTTTCCTAAGCAATATACTTAGAAGATGGAAACCAAGGGAAGAGAGTTGAATATTGTAACTGAAACAGCTTGCAAAAGTGTTGATCTGATGTGTATTTCATCATCCACATAATTGTTACTGTACTGCTTAGTAATTAGCTGTGAATGACAAGTGGCTCATGTAAATGAGCATATTGCAACTATTACTAATATAGAAATCTTTTGTAAGACCTTAGAATTTACAAACTGTGTTCACATGCATGATCCCATTTAATTAATTTCACCTTTATCTTTTTTTTCCTGCCAACTCCAGCATTTCAGGAATCAGCTAGAGGAAAAACAGACAGCATGTGATCATATTACAGAGGGACTCTGCGATTCTCAGCATCTCTGAGGGATGTTTGTAGTTTAATAAATATTGAGGGAGATGTAAAACCTATGCCACCTGGTAAGCCCTGGCTGTACCATGACGTTGCTGTGTGACCTTGCACAACATTCTTAAGTACATAAATATGTACATACATGTACACAAATATATCTGTGTATTAAAGTTTCTGAATCAAAGTTTTCTTCATAAAAAGGTGAGGACCAGCCTGCCTCATGTCAAGAAAGATTAGACCTCATCATACTTCTTGTTTGTGTCCTTTACCAGTTGCTGCACAGACTGAATACAGTAGGCAGCTCTCATCCTGGAGTTCCACACCCATGGATTCATCCAAATGCAAATCAAAACTATTCAGAAAAATGTTTTCATGAAATTCCAAAAAGCAAAACTTGAATTTGCCGTGTGCCAAGTACTACACTGAATCCATGAGAATGAAGTGGTATGTAGGCCTTTTATTTGGTATTATAAGTAACCTAGAGATGATTTAAGGTATACAGGAGGACGTTTCTGGGTTATATGAAAATATTATGCTATTTTATTTAGAGAATTGAGCATCTGCAAATTTTGGTACCCGCTCTGGGTCCTGGAACCAATCCCCCTATGGATACCAAGGGACAACTGTATATATAGCAGGGCTACATACTACAAAAGTCAGAATCAAGAAGCATTTGTTTTATTTCTTTTCCATCTCAGTCTTTAACCTATAGGGAAGAGAACACTTCTTTCTCGTGCTGGAAGGTCCAAAGAAGTTACTCTGATTGTTCCTGGTTCATGCCTTTGAGAAATGAGGACAGATAATGAGGTCTAATCTTTCTTGACAAAGGGCAGGCTGGACTTTACCCTTTGCAGTAAAATTCATCCATAAAAACAAAGTGAAATAAGATAGAATAGACTCTGAATAGGAGAGGAGAGAGGGAAAAGGAAGGGTAGAACTGTATCTTACTCTTTACTCATCTAGAAAGGGGAATAGATGTATTGAAGCCAGAATCCAGTACGCTCACCTCTCTCTTATAGGGCCAATCTGACACAGATTTTCAGGTTATGGCCCCTCTTCCCAAACATTATTTAGGTTTAGACTTTGCCCAAGACTCCACAAATTAAAATTTAATCCAGAATATCAGTTACGAGGAAGAATGTCCTATATGACTCAAAAACAATCCCACATACACACACCCTACACACACACACACACACACACACTGCAACTTAATGGGAATTGTGTTTGTCTTTAAATATCTTTCTTTATCAATGTGGAATAATGATATCAGCCCATGTCACAAGATTATGACAAAACTAAACTGAGATAATGAAACATTACAATTACCAACTGCTAAAGGAATGCTGTTAGATAATATTGCCCATAAATTAAATGTCACCGTATGGCCTCCAGATTAGTCCCACAGTGAAAAATTTGGCAATATGTCCTACCAAAGAATAAGCTTTTACAGTGAGAATAAAATTGTGTACCCCACTACTTGGGGACTGGAAATAGTATATTTGTGAAGGTTCATTCATCAGCTATGAGTCTATAAATAAGTTTAGGTATATGTTTATATAAACACTGAAATACACACACACACACACACATATATCCATCTGAACATTCCCTATGTTTGTTTACTTATCTCTCTATGTCACTGTAATTTTACTATGGTCCTTCAGACATGTGCAGAACCAGCTGTTTCTATCATCCTTTCTCACCTACCCCTACCTCATTTGGCATGAAATGTTATACCTCATCTCAGAGTGCACATTAATCAGATTTATAGTCTTCATATAATGATCATTCCCACCCATTAGGACTTATGGGTCACCCTGACAGTGAGTTGACTGCCTCTCACTCTGGGGCTGTTTGTCATAGCGCAGTTTTCCTTAGAAGATGCAGTTCTGCCACAACTATTAACTCCTACACTATTGTAAAATAATGTTGAGTGAGAGTTTTGTAGTTTTCATTTTCCAGCTATTTTTCTGTTCCATCATAGATGCCAGTGAATGACCATATTCTAAGAAAGATAAGGGAATACCTAGAGCTAGGTCCTGAGCACAGGAGAATGGGTCCACTCAGGTTGTTGCAAAGAGACTTAGAAGATATCAGGAAGGGCTGGGAGCAGTGGTTCACACCTGTAATCCCAGCACTTTTGGAGGCCGAGGCGGGCAGATCACCTGAGGTCAGGAGTTCGAGACCAACCTGACCAACATGGAGAAAACCCATCTCTAACTAAAAATACAAAATTAGCCGGGTGTGGTGGCACATGCCTGTAATCCCAGCTACCAGGGAGGCTGAGGCAGGAGAATCACTTGAACCCGGGAGGCAGAGGTTGCGGTGAGCCAAGATCATGCCATTGCACTCCAACCTGGGTAACAAGAGTGAAACACCATCCCCCACGAAAAAAAAATAACAGAAAGAAGGCCTACAGGTGTGGTGCTTCCCCCAGGCCCTCCTTTCCATAGTATGTTTACTTTTCAGAAGAACCTCTGATGGAATCCAAGTGTTTAGCTACGGGAAGATGATCATCTTCTCCTTGTCTAATGACATGGAAATCAGAACAAGCCAACACAGATGGTGAAATAAAAAGATAAAGCAAATTTGGTTGGTTGAACCTACATTTTGCAATGCTACAGATTTATGAACACTTTTGGTTAAGCAGCCATTCACTGTGATTCATAGAGATCTAAGGTACCGGTCCTCAAATTCCATACTTCTGTCTTTCCCAAAGTGGGCCAGTGAATACTTCTTCACCTGTTATACACAAATGTCAATCAACTGCCAATGTTCTCCACGGACAAGTCAGTTAGTAATATGAGACAATGAATGAAAGAAACAGTTACACTAAACTGTTGCATGTAACTGAACACACCATCTAAGTGCCAGCAGGCATACTGAGGAAGTGACCTTATTCAGCAAATATTTTTTAAGAACTCATGACACTGAAGGATACAAAGATGGATATGAGACAAATTATGGTTTCTAGAAGCTTACAGTTGAGCACAGACAATCAAACTTGCACATAAATAATCACAAACCAAGGCAGTATGTAATAAACACCCTCATGAGAGATACACAATGGTTAAGAGCTAAAAAGAGGGAGGATCTTTTTAGTGTTCAAGTATTTTAAGAAAGGCTTCATGGAGGAGGTGCCTTTTGAACCTGACCCTGAGAAATGCTTACTGTGTGAAAAGTGCTGTACACACTCCTCATTCCCTTTTTCTGCACCCATAGTGACCTTTCCTCAGATGCATACTCTGCTTCTTCTGTTCCGAGATCTGCACAGGCTGGAAACAGCCTTCTTGACTCAACCTAACCTAACACCTATACCTCAGGGAAGCCATTTGTGACTCCAGAATGAAACCTGATCACCCTACTAGCATAGCAGTTTGCACCTGTCTTTCCCAGCACCAACCAAAATGTGCAACTTTGCATTCATTTGGGTGACCTTTTAATATTAAGAACTGCCTACCCACCTAGAGGGCAAGGTCCATAATGGGGGCACCTTGTCTCATTTGTTCAATGTTGTATCCTTACAACTAGCTGAAAGCACCCATAGAAGGCACTCAGTAACATTGGCCATATGTCTAAGTGACTGGCATGAGAAAAAAAGTATACAGAAAATAAACACTGAAGGCTAAACAGGAAATAGTTACATAGTAGCAAAAAAATAAAAAAATAAAAATATGGGTATAGTGAAAAGTCAGCCAAGTATAAGAGGCCACACTATTGAATGTGAATTTTTACTTATCCTTCCATGAACTCTTCCTGAATCTCACCAGCCAGGACACATTCCTCCTTCTAAGTACTTTCTGCGTTTGCTATGGAATGATTTCTGTTAACCTTGTTCTTCATTAAACTGTGTGAGGACAGAAAAACTTCTTATTCATGTCTATATCCTCCATAGCCCAGAGCACAATGTTCATAATAGGTTCTTTTTTAAAAAGTGTGTATTGAATTTCCTTTGCTCAATAGGACATGAAGATATTGGAGCAGGTGAGAGCTGTGTTCCAAGTGATACTGTAGGAAATTTTTGGGGGGTTTAAATTTAAGAAGTACAAGTATAATTTTGTTATATAGATATATTGTGTAGTGGTGAAGTCTGGCCTTATAGAGTAGCCATCACCTGAACAATGTACATTATACCCATTAGGTAATTTCTCAACATCTACCCCCAATTCTACTCCCTCACCTTTTAGTCTCCAATGCCTATTATTCTACACTCTATGCCCATGTGTACACATTATTTACTTCCTATGAATAAGTGAGAACGCACAGTATTTTTCTGTTTCTGAGTTGTTTCACTTAAGACAATGACCTCCAGTTCCATCCATGTAGTTGCAAAAGACACAATTTCATTCTTTTCTATGACTGAATAGTATTCCATTGTACATATGTATACCACATTTTCTTTATCCAATCATCTGTAGATGAACAGTTAGGTTGATTCCATATCTTTGCTATTATGAATAGTATTGCAATAAACATATGAATGCAGGTATCTTCTTGATATAACAATTTTTTTTTCCTTTGGGTAGATACCCAGTAGTGGTATTGCTGGTTTGAATGGTAGTTCTATTTGTAGTTATTTGAGAAATCTCCAAACTGTTTTCCATAGAGGTTGTTCTAACTTATATTCTCAATAATTGTGTATGAGTGTTCCATTTTCTCTGCATCCTCATCGACATCCGTTATTTCTTGTATTTTTAGTAATAGCCATCCTAACTGGTATAAGATGCTAACTCATTGTGGTTTTAATTTGCTCTTTTCTGATGATTAGTGATGTTAAGCATTTTTCATATGCTTGCTGACCATTTGTATATCTTCTTTTGAAAAATACATATTCATGTCCTTTGTCCACTTTTTAATGGGGTTATTTTTGTTGTTTTTGCTGTCACTGAGTTGTAGGAGTGCCTTGTAAATTCCGGATATTAGTTTTCTGTTGGATGCATAGTTTGCAAGTATTTTCTCCCATTCTGTAGGCTCTCTGTTCACTCTGTTGATTATTTAATCCAATAGGAGTTTATGAAAGAGACTGGGATTTGAAAGACACTTGTGTTGGTTACTAAGATATTGCCTCTTATCTCTAAACCCATCCTTCTGTTCTTTGTTTTCTGATGCAGACCTCATGGTTCAGCAGACTACATTTGTTGCACTTGACCAACTGGAAGACTGTTCATACCTGCCAGAAGAAGCCCTGGGGGAGGCAAGAAGGCAAGAGAGGGAGAAGGAACTTACCCCTTCCTGCTTGGCTGTCTTTTTGATTACATTACCCCAGGATTAGAACTTCACATGGGCAGCAGCAGTTGGTCCCACTTTCCAGCTTTCTCTACACTCCCAGAACAAGCCTCATCATACCGTCAGCACCAGCACCAGTTGGTGGTGCCCCCTCCTCAAAGGTCTCAGCTCCTTGCCAAAATTTGATAATACCACCTCCTCAGAAGACTGGGTTCCAGTTCAGTGAGGTCTCATCTGAGCTTGCCGGTCCTAAAACCCCACTTTTTCCCTTTAATTTACCCTAAATGTGCAATTGCTTCTTGCAGTTATTGGCTCTGTGTTATTCTAGTATTATTTTTCTAGCACCTCTCCTCAACCTACTTGAACAATTTCTATATTAAATCACTTCTGATAAAATATCTCACATGATCTAGTTTCCTTGCCACACACTGACTACTGATTGTTAGGGACCAGTGAGAAGGCTAATGTAATAGCCCTGCTATTACCTTGCTCAGGAAAAAGGCAACAAACCTCTGAAATCAAGAGATGAGAATAAGAATGAAAGGATATTAACAATAACATCAGCTAACTGCTTACTGAGCAATAGGCCCATGTGCTTTTTATGAAATATGTAATTTAATCATTGCAAAATCCCTGCAATGTAGTTAGTATCAATAGGCCTATTAACATACAAGGAAACTGAAATATAAAGAAGTTAAATGGCTTGTGCATGATCACCAGAGACTAAATAGTGAAACAGGCAGAGACCTGTTTCTAGCTAAGCAAAAAGTCAACACTTTAAGCACCTCTGTACTTAACCAGTTTCCCTGCCACCACAATTACTCACAGAAATTACAAGTAATCTATATAAAGTAATGTAATAAAGCGAAAAAATGGTACAGGAGTGCAAGGGAAAGGAATTCATTTTGACAAGTTCTGAGATGTAGCAAAGCTCCATGGGATAAGTTAGCACATACATATTTAATGTACCTTAGGTACTTGAATTCCCAGTTGTTAATTGTTTCATTTTCTTATTTGGTTTTCAAATTACTTTTATTTGATTTAAGAGGGAAATAAACTAAAAGGTGGAGCTCAATAGACATAATCTACATTTGTGTTTACTGAATACCTGAATTTTGACAACCAAAAACTTGGTGAAACAAAATGAGATAAAATAGACTTTCTTTCTCAGGGAATCTCTTCTTTCCTTGAGGCTATATTAATCTGCTCTTAATACACAGAAAAATTAAGTTCTTAAAATTATTTAGAGTACCTCAAAAGTATAGCATAAAACTTTATAAAAGATGGACAAATATAAATAATATAGAATATATTTCAGTCTCTGGTGTTTTATGTTCATCAGAGCTATTTCAAAAATTAACTGTCATAAAGTACATAGAATATTTGGTCTAATGCTTATTGCCTCTACTCGGGACAGCCTCTACTTTACATATTTAAATAAAAGGTGAGTAAACTCAGAGACCAGGAACTCAAAAATAAACATGAACTTGAGGAAAATGCAAGTTACATGTGAAATATTGAAGCACCATTCTACTAGAAAAAAGAACTCCACTTTTCACCACCACGATCAGAAATAAGCAAAGGAGAGTCAATAAAACAGAGTGTTTAGTAGCAAACGTTCTGGAAAAGATCATCTTGGAGTCAAATCCTGGTGCCACCACTGATTGCATTACCTTGGGCAAGTTACTTAACCTCCACAGTCTTCTCAGCTTCTTTTTCTACAAAATTAAGATAATAATACTTTTCTATGTTGAAAAGCTAAGGGCAGTATCTGGAACATGGTAAACACTCAATAAATGTAAACTCTCATTTTACCTGGAAAACAGGAGGTATAAAGGGATTGTGTGTATGCATGTGCATAAATATATCTGTGTAGTAGTTATGCATTATATTAATAATATATAATATATTAACACTGTATAATAATGCATTATCATTAAGTATCGAATTCTTATACAAACTGCAAGTTTGTTGATATTTCTCTAACTCAGGAAGGGGGCAACTGATACTCAGAATCCAGGAGAAACAGTCTGCTCCCCATTTTCACACTTCTGAAATGTGTAAGGCAGCAGGTGGAAGATGGTACAGCAGACAAAAGAACCCTTGAGTGGGAGCCATTAGACTCCATGACTTCAAACAAATCCCTTTGAACTTTCTAAGTTGAAGTTTCTTCAATGGATAAATGGAGATATTCTCAACTTCCTTAGAGGAGTTTTGAGGGATTTAGTAAAATCACATAACTTTTGGCAATGTAAGTAAATGAACTTTGCAAAATACTCTGTAAGCTCCTTTTATAATTTCTGCTAATATTGTCTTCAATGGGATGAGTTGGTCGTGAATCCTGCCTCCTCAGAGAAGAACGATGAGACTAAGTCTCCTTTACTAGATGTTGTCCATGGAGAGCAAAGCACAAACTTCTTTCCTGGACGGCTGAATTAATCCAGACATTGAAAACATCCAGACATTGAACATATACTCCTGAGAGAGAGAAAGCCGATTAGCATCTCTCACAGGAAAAGGCATTCAGAATGGACATGTTTATTTTCTCTGCCTCCCCTCCAACATACACATATCAACTATGGAAACTCCCAGAACTACACAGGGGTACAACCAAGGCCATACTGGGTAAAAGCCTGGCTTTATATGGAAAGTTGAAGAGGGAAATATGCATATCAATCTCAAATAGGTGATTTTCAAGCCCAAATCTCACTCTTGAATTCTGATATGCAACTTGTCATTCTCGCCTGTGAAACCAAAATTTCAAAAAGAAGCCCCAAATGTAAGTCAACTATGAAATTTGGGTACAAATGCCATATTCTCTCTGCAATATACTCTCAAGCCTATCCAGTGTAATGGAATGAAAAGAAAGCAGACTTTGACTCAGACCAAACTTAATTTCAATCCAGGTTCTGTTACTGTGAGGCCCTAAATAAGTCACTAAATCATCCTTGCTGTAGCATTGTCTTCAGTAAAATAATGGTCATATAATGTCTACTTTCCAGAGCTATTCCAAGAATTAACTGTCATATGGTACACATAATATTTGCCTTAGTGTCTATTGCATCTACTCAGGACTGCCTCCAAGAAGTGATGACCTGAGGCTTCCAATAGTCAGACAGAAATTGAACATATTCAACCTCTTATTCCTCTGTGGTGTGTGATAGTTATTCTGATTACAAAAGCCCTCCATATCAGGAACGTGATATTAATTCACAAGATATGTGCTTAGCAAGTCAAATTCTCTAGGAAGAAAATGATATTTTTATCCAGAAAAACATAAAACAAAGCAAAATGTTACACTTTTGAACAGTCAAAACAATTGCTCCAGAAAGCTGGAGCAGAGGAAAAAGGAATCCTATTTTGGTGTTCACATGGCTATAAGGAAGACGCTGAAATCAGCACATTCTCCTGAGTGCATGGACCACTCAAGGTATAGAACATTCTGTTCATGCTGCCCTAAAGGCCAATTGAAAGGCTTCTGCAAGGTAAACAGGTCTTAGAAAGTTTTTGTTTTTGAGGATTTTTCTGGAAAAAGTTATTTATTTACTTATTATTTGGAGAGAGGCACCCTTTCCAGTAAAGTGGTCTCTTGTAAATTAGCCCTTTAACAAATGCATCTACCAGTCACCCCCAACAGCTTTTCTGTGCAGGAAGCCAACAAAAAGGAAAGTTAGTAAGTCAAGCCACAAAAGTATACATATAATTCAAGGGCATTTCTGAAAATGTATAAAGCAGGATAGGAGGCCTATCCTTAAAGGTTACTGTTCTTTTTCTAAAATGAAAATTTTGGTGGTGGGAGAAGAGTGCCATTGTGCTCTGAAACTCTACTTTTGGAAGAACTAGGGTAGCAGTCTCATAGCTATTGCCCTAAAATTGAAGGGCTATCTTTCCAGGGGTGATTATGCTCCTATAGGATGCAAGCTCAGTCCTGTGACTCACTCCATCCCCAGACCTTCAGTAAGGCTCTGGAAAATAGGATCTGTCCAACTGACAAGTTACCAGTTGATCAGAGCTGCTGAATGCACCATGACAAAGTCTTCATTTTCTAGCAGCACATAGAAAGAATGGCCTTGCTGATTCTGGCCCTGGGTTGAAGCACTAGCTCTGCTCTCTCTACCCCTTACAAGTAATGTGACGTAAGGAAGTGACAAACTTCTGGTCCCCCATTTCTTCATCTGTAAGATATGTGGCACATATACACCATGGAATACTATGCAGCCATAAAAAATGATGATTTCATGTCCTTTGTAGGGACATGGATGAAATTGGAAATCATCATTCTCAGTAAACTATTGCAAGGACGAAAAACCAAACACCGCATGTTCTCACTCATAGGTGGGAATTGAACAATGAGAACACATGGACACAGGAAGGGGAACATCACACTCTGGGGACTGTTGTGGGGTGGGGGGAGGGGGGAGGGATAGCATTAGGAGATATACCTAATGCTAAATGATGAGTTAATGGGTACAGCACAGCAGCATGGCACATGTATACATATGTAACTAACCTGCACATTGTGCACATGTACCCTAAAACTTAAAGTATAATAATAATAAAATAAAAAAATAAAAATAAATAAAGTGTCTCTGGGTCTTATCAGAAAGTCCAATCCCTAGTATATGATTAAAATAGATTTTACATCATCCTTTGATATTCAACTTAATTATTACATCAGTTGTTCACATGATTTTTCCTTAGAGATATTTGATTCTATGTAATGTTTTCAAATTGATTTTTTAATATTACGTGACTATATGATATTTACTATATCAAGGTATCTCTACGCATCTTTTCTAACTAATTTTCAAGTGCTTACACTGATTTATTTTTATTAGTGTATTTCTCTTAATGTTTTTCTTCCAAAGAAAATTCTGATTTGGACCACTGAAACCCAATGATCATTTACAATGTTTTAAAATATTTTGTCCGGGCACGGTGGCTCATGTCTGTAATCCCAGCACTTTGGGAGGCCGAGGTGGGCAGATCACCTGGTGTCAGGAGTTCAAGAACAGCCTGGCCAACATGACGAAACCCCATCTCTACTAAAAAAACCAAAATTAACTGGGCATGGTGGTGGGTGCCTGTAATCCCAGCTATTTGGGAGGCCGAGGAAGGAGAATTGCTTGAACCTGGGGGTGGAGGTTGCGGTGAGCTGAGATCACACCACTGCGCTCCAGCCTGGGTTACAGAGTGAGACTCTGTCTCAAATATGTATGTGTGTGTGTGTGTGTATATATATATAGATATAGTTTTATTTTAAAATTGAAAAATAGTTTGTGATATCTTAAAGAGAATTAAATTCTAAAGATATGTTTTATTTAGTTTTTCTGTTAGAAAAATGCAATAACACTGGAGACAAAAATTAAATTTAATATTATTATCTTCTCCAAAAAGTAAGAATGTATTTATACTTTCACTGTTTATATTAAAAAGCAAATAAGATCCATCATGCCCAGTAAGACGAGAATTTTTAAATAAATATCCAGCGAAGTTTTCTAGGTTAGCAGTAATTGCTAATCATTGAGTTGAAAGAGTAAAAGAGGCTGATCAGTTTTCCATCAAGCAGAGACAAGGGGCATTTCTCACAAATAAGACATGGTTTTGGCAGATGTCACTGACAGCGCACACATGAGGCCATCTTAAACTGAATAGGCCTGTTTGATGATTGCTGTGAAGACTAGCAGTGAACATTTAACTCTTAGAAAATCTTGAGATTTAAATAAAGTGGTAGTGCCATGTAAAACATATTGTATTATTCATATTAAAAGAATTAAAGCAAACATTGCACGGAAACTTGGGAAGTCCTTGAGAGAAAAGAATAGAGGAGGATGTATCTTCCTAAAATTTTAATGTTGGACAGAGAATGGTATTTTGTTAATATCTTACATTTATGTCCCTTGTGGAATAGCTTTCTCTGGGTATATTCTTGACTGCCCCATATTTGCAAACAGACCAATCTTAACCAGTTTTCAAACCAATCTTAACCCGGTTGAAACAGCATCCATTCCCTGGGGCTTACTTTATTCCCTTCTTTCCCTGGTTGGAATTAATCTCTCTATCCTATAAAGGGCCAAAATACTCTTGCAAGAAGCTCCACCGCACAGGCTGTGTGACCTTGGGTGAAATACTTAACTTCTCTGAACTTTAACTGTAAAATAGAGTTTCAAGTTCCCTATTTTAAAAAGGAGGATAATAATAGTACCTTCTTTATAGACTTACTATAGTGATTAAATGAGGTCATATGTACAGCATATGCTCCATAATCTTTTCCTGCTTGGAAGACAGCCTGTCCATTGTGAGTGCTGGATAGGTGTTTGTTAGGTAATGAAATAAAGTACATCTCAAATGTTACTCACTGTCTTTATCCTCTCTTGTAGCCTGGAAGCTTTTCCCAGCTAAAGACAATATCTTCAAACCCCCATATTTAGTAAACTATTCCTGGTTTTGGTAGCAGTTATAAATATCTGCTCGTTAAAAAAAAAAAAAAGTGATGTTTTGCTACCAATGAGTCATTTAAAAATATTGGCCTGAAAGAACCAACATTGAAGATATTCATATTTTTTCATACTTTCCTAGGCTATTATTAGGTCTCAATTACATCATCAGTGCTTATGACACACCATAGGCACTTAATAAACAGGTGCCAAGTGAATAAAATCTAGTGAGCAAATAACTCTTTATCTCAAATTACTAAAATGAATAATATTTTACAGGGAATAATTCTGTTTCTACATTATCACGTTTACTAAAAATGTTTGTCAAGTAGATGTTATATACAATTTGAATAAAAGTTTTTAAACGTCTCTGGAAGACATGCTTATAAGGCCCTACATTAATTAACGTACCAGTCAATCAACAGGTGTCAATTAAACCCCTAGTAGTGCTCCTCAATGTGCTAATGGCGGAGTGTATTTCAAAAGAAGTATAAGATACATCCTCAGTGGATTTACAGACTAAATGGAACAAGGACATAGCTAACACTGTGGTTCCAAACCATTTGATCAGCACTCTGAGTGAAGTAGCTTGAGAGAGGTCAGAGCACCAGGAACTGGACTAGTTAAGGTCACGTCTTAGAAGAGGCTGATACATGGGAAGAATTCACACAGATGACACATGAGAAGAGAAGGCAGTCACACACTCATCCTGATACCTCACGGCTCATACTGCTTTGCTCATACTCAACACACTAAACTGAACTGAACTCCTCTGACTGCAAAACCAATAGCCAGGAAGCCAAACCTGCAATGTCCAGTGGCAGCCGGGGAGGCTCAGGAGACAGGATCAATTACAACAGGGCTTCTTACGGGAAAGTGGTCCCCACACTGGTGATTCAGCTCACATGCCCACAGACTGACTGGGCCAGCTTGGCTTCCATTGACTGCCATCCCTCGCCTGGCTCTCCTGACTGCACCCTGACCTATTCCCAATCCTTTGGTCTTTCTTTTTTGGATAGATTACTATGGATTTCTGTTGCTCCATTTGACTTAAACATTAGTTTCCAAATAAAATATAAGCCAATTCTCTGCACATTTTGAAGTGGCTCACTCAAGGCTGTAATGTTTAAAAATTGATATTCCTCAGAGGGTTTTGTATATTTTTTCCCCTACTTCAGAAATAATTAGGGGAGTTATATTAAACAGGTCTAAAAGAAGGTACCTTTCTTTTAGGCATTTTTTTTCCCTCTCATTCCCCAAACATTCCATTACTATTTTATCCCTTCTGAGCCTAGCCAGAAACTTGGCCTCCTTTGACTCCCAAACATACCAAGTTATTAAAAATACCCTTCAGCCAATATTAAGGAAGGGTCAGTAAAATGAACTCAGCATGGGGCTTAAGCAGAGCACAATGATTTCTTTGACTTAGTGAAGGAAATGAATGAGGATGATTTTGGACGGCCAGTTTCTTTCACTAATCTGTTGCTGGACTCTATCAGACATGAATGTTTCTCCCTGTCAGATTTCCTAATATTTCTCCATTGTGCTGTCACCGACATGAGAGTTAACTGGCATGAGAAGAGCTCATCTCACTCAAAAAAAAAGTCAACATTCCACAGAAAGTTATGGGACCTTCAGTTAGTATTAAGAGGAAAGTGAAATTAGAAGCTTAGCACTCACAAGATTTATACAGGAAAAGAAAGGCAGACACACTATTTTCAGGCTGCTGCTAATTAAGTCTTATTTGGATTGGAGCCTTCTGAAAGGAATCAACACATCAGGAATGGGTAAGCTAACAGGGAGGAGACAGCTGCTGAATATAATTCTGGAGAGAGCAGCCCTGCTGCTTAGATCTCAGATAACACAGAGGTTCAGTGTGTAATTGACTATGGAACAAGAAGAACATTGTTTTGTAAAAGAAGGTACCATTGCTGGGGTCCACAGAAACAGTTATGGTTCTTACCTCTGAAGGAGAACTGTGTTTAACTGTGGCTTTTAGATTTAACTTACTAAATTTGTATTTGCTGCAAAAGTAAACCACACTCAAGAGTAAAGCAAAATTCATCAGCAAGGCTATAATTTTGCAGAGAGAAATAAGAAGGGTGTATAATATTTAAATCGGAACTCAGCATCCCAGCAAAGAGCTTCTTAATCAAAACAAAAGAGAAAAAATCATTAAATACAGTAACCCACTGAGATTCACATGAAGGTATGTCCCACAACTTTCATAAATCCCGAATTTATGATACCACTATAATATACTATTACTCCACAAGAAGTAGATGTGAATAACACCCAAGGATTACTGTGTATGATACAGAAAACCAAAGAGAAGAAAAGCTGCATGGAGAGCAGCTGCTCTGACTGTGTGTGCAGTGCCTCATTCACCAACACACAATTCAAATTCAAGCCTCAGCAAAATAACTTGTCGTAAGCCATGATCCTCTATAAGGTCATCTTCAAATAGACGAAATAGTGACATTTAATTCATAAAGACAAGGTTCTACTCTCTTGCTGAGCAAGTAATCCAATCAACTGTGGTTTAGTTTCATCAACTTTGGAGAAAAGGCAATTTTCTTTCAAGATTTGACACCCTTCATACCCTCTGCCTATAATTCCAGATGGTAGGTGTAGGTGGTAGAAATGTTAGGTTGAGCAGAATGATAGTACCTAAAGAAGAATGAATAGTACCAGGAAATGCATGACTCATGGCATTCTAATTTTCTTGAAGTTCTTTTGTACATTTGCATCAAGATTTTCCACAAAATTCAATCCTGACTTTAATTGTAAATTAAAGAGTCCTTTATTGAATTTCTATTATTGCAGAGCAGTTACGCCACATGAGGTATAATAGAAGCTTATAATGTCATTGAGAGGCCAGGAAAAAACACATGTGCAGAGAGCAATATACCTGTGGCTGTCAGCCTGTAACATAGGTAACCTGTATCTGCAGTCCTAACTTGATTCTAAATCTCATAGTGCCTTCTCTGTTTTTCCCAAGGAGAAGGCACCATGGGATTTAGAACCAAGCTAGGGCTAGAGACATATGTTACAGGCTGTGAAAGTTCTACCAAAGTTCCTACTTTAAAGAATGAGCAAAAAGAGGCGGGGCATGGTGGCTCACACCTGCAATCTCAGCACTCTGGGAGGCCGAGGTGGGTGGATCACCTGAGATCAGGAGTTCAAGACCAGCCTGGCCAACATGGTGAAACCCCATCTCTACTAAAATTACAAAACTTAGCCAGGCATGGTGGAGGATGCCTGTAATCCTACCTATTCAGGAGGCTGAGGAAGGAGAATTGCTTGAACCCAGGAGGCGGAGGTTGCAGTGAGCCGAGATCGTACCACTGCACTCTAGCCTGGGTAACACAGTGAGACTCCATCTCAAAAAACATATAAAAATAAATACAGATAAAAAGAATGGGCAAAAAGAGATACTGGCTAAAGTCTTAAGCAATAAATTCATCAAAGGCAAAAAGACAGGTAAGTGTGTGTGGCTTTAAGGAACCATTAACTGAACCATTTTATTGGAGCAAAGGGCTCATTTAAAGGCATGAGTGAAAATGACAGATGGAGTAATGGTCATATTCCTTTCATTATTACACTTTAGACAACAAACCTTTGTGCTCCATTGCACTTAAATACCAGGAAAACACTTACCAAAGAACAATATTAACACATTTATGCAACCATATGATCTTTGCATACAGATCACAGCAATCAAGCTTCCAACCTTTTGTTGCATGCCTACTATGTGCCAGGAATTGTCCTAGCACTTCCCTTCCAATTCCCTATCCTATTTAATCGCTTCACATTCTACCACTCACACAAATTGTAGATTTATTTTACTCTCAGCCCACATAAAATACTCCAACCTAACAATTTTTAATTCTATCGGCATGATATTCTTTCATCCATCTAATGTTTCTACCTTAGATCAGAACCATTTCATATTTCAATTCCTACATTACCCCCTAGACTCCAGGCTTATAGTTTTATAAAATAAGATTGTAAAATAAAAACCCATCTTCTCCCTTCCTCCAGAAAAGGAGAGAAGTAAGTGTGTAATAGCTAACATTTATAATGATTTTACTATGCTGAGTGCTTTCTACATAAAGCTGTTTCATTTAATGGCTCAGCAACACTGTTGAAAAAGGAAGAACCTGGAGTATGGAAAGACTGAACAACTCCCACCAGGTTCATGTAATCAGTAATTGGTGGAGCTGGAATTTTTAATCAGGTCCAACTCAGAACCTAAATCTTTTAAGATCACAAGCTTAGTCATAATATTCAATTCAGTGCCTTTTCTTTGCCTATAAAATAAACCACATTTTTTGAAGTAGTGGCAATGTAACTCTTGAATTAGATTGTGTGGGTTCAGATTTCAAATGTATCATTTGCCACCTGTGCAAATTTGGACATCATAATTAATATCCCTAATCATGAATTTATCATCTATAAAATGGATAATATTAGTTTCTTTACACACCATTGTTATAAGGTTAGGAGATAATTCATGTAAAATGTATACAGGGCCTAATATAGTAAGTGCTTAACAAGAACTGATGAAGGAATAATGGTTAGGTACATAAATGAATGAGTGAATGAATTTCCTTTACATACATCTCTTTATATAAATATATCACTTATAGTAACAAGTGTAGGTAAGGACACCTACTCTATCCCTCATTGTTAGGGTTAAGAACTGCTTGCATTATTTTTTAGGAAAAGCCATTAAATGCCTTATACTAAAGAGAAAATAATGGGAGGCATTATCGTAATCATTATCATCATGATTTCATCAAAACTGATGAAAACCTATTACATGTAAGATATCAAGGTTAAAAAAGAGACATATGGCAAAGATGCCATCTTAAAACCTACATAGTAATGCAGTATGTGTAGATTGATCAGTGAATAATTAGATTGTACAACTGCAGTGGAACAAAAGTTCTACCATTCCTGTTGCTCATACATAGAAATGCACATGAGTCACCTACAAGCTTCCTGATTTGCTTTTGCTTTCTCCCCAGCTATTACCCAAACCTAAAAGTATGATTTTTACAAGTTAATAATTTTCTTTTAAGAGGTGTTGTCAAAGTTTCCTCTCAATCCTAATTTAAGGTAAGTATAAAATTATAATATGAAAATCCAAGAATTCACGTTTTAAAAGGAAAAAAGATAAACCAGTAGCAAAGAGCTGGTAACAGATGGCGACTTAGCAGTTAAAGCAGCATTTTTATTATATTCCAGATAGTAAAGTTTTTCTATGACTCTACTGTTCAAATGAACACCCACAGGTTCACCATCTAGAAGTGGTATGTCCCCTAACTTTAGAGAACAAGTTGATTCACAGAGTTCAATACCCTCAAGGTCATTTACTTTCTCTAAATGTCTACCCTCCCCACAACATGCCCTTTTTCCCCCTATTACAAATCAACCAATCTTACAGCTCGCAGAACAGAATTCACTGAATCTTAAAATAATACTATCATATTATTGCCAGGGAAGATGAACTGTGGCTTTTCTCCACTTTTGGACTCAATGCTTTGCATTTATTGTTTCCTTTTATGACCAGTCAGTCCTAGAAGCCAAGGTTAAAACAGAGGAATATCCTCCCAAAAGGAATGAAATAACCCCTTCACTGTTCACTCTGTTATATTTATTCAAGTTAAGAGATCTTAAATAAAGAGGGAAAGAATAGACAAAGGTAAAGCTAAAAAGCAGACTAAAGAAAACATGGAAAAGCAGAGGCGGCAATGTAACTAGGTTTAATTTCAGAGCAAATGAAAACAAAAATACAACATAAATGCCTACACTAGGAAAGAACATTCTCAAATAAGCAACATGACTTTACACCTCAAGGAACTAGAAAAAGAGGAAGAAACTAAACCTAAAATTATCAGAAGGAAGGAATTAATAAAGATTAGAGAAGTAAATCAAATAAGAAACAGACAACAATAAAAAAATCCATAAACAAGAGTTGATTTTTTGAAAGCATCAACAAAATCAACAAACTCAGCTAGGCTAATAAGAAAAAATGGAGAAGACTCAAATAAATAAAATCAGAAATCAAAGAGAAGATATTACAATGGATGCCTCAGAAATGAAAAGTATCATTAGGGACTATTGTGAACAATTATATGCTGACAAACTGGATAACCTAAAGGAAATAAATAAATTTCTACAAATATGCAACTTATTGAAGCTGAATCAAGAAGAAATAGGATAGTGTAGACAAACTGCACAAGGAAGACATTTATTTCAGTCCGTAATCAAAAGTGTCTCAAAAAAGAAAAGCTCAGGATGAGATGACTTCTCATCTGGTGAATTCTAATAGACAATCAAAGAAGAACTGATAACAATCCTTCTTTAACTCTTCCAAAAAAATAAAATAGGAGGAATCACTTCCAGACTCATCTTATGAGGCCAGGACCATCCTGATCAAAACCAGACAAAGATACAACAAGAAAAGGAAACTAAAAGCAAATATTCCTGATAAATACTGATGCAAAAATCCTCAATAAAATACTAGCAAACAGCATTCAACAGAACATTAAAAGGATCATACACCGTGACCAAGTGGTATTTATCCCTGGGGTGTAAAGATGGCTCAACATAAGGAAATCAATCAACGTGATACACCACACTAACAGAATGAAGGCCAAAAACAATATGATCATCTCAATAGATTCAGAAAAAGCATTTGACAAAGTTCATCATTCTTTCATGATAAAAACTCTCAACAAAATAGGTATAGAAGGAAATTGTTTAAACACAATACAGGCCATACATGAAAAGCCCACAGCTAACATAATAATCATTGAGGAAAACTGAAAGTTTTTCTTTAATTTCTGGTATAAGATATGGATGTCCATTCTCACTACATCTATTCAACACAGTACTGGAAGTCCTAGCCAGAACAATTAGACAATTAGACAAAAAAGAAAAGAAAAGAAAAGAAGAGGAAAGGAAAGGAAATCGGAATAGAATGCATCTAATTAGGAAGGGAAGAAATAAGCTTATCTCTGTTTGCAGATGACATGATCATATATGTAGAAAACTCTATAGACTACAAAAAAAGAAAAAAAATGTTAGAACTAATAAAACAATTCAGTGAAGTTTCAGGGTATAAAATTAGTATACAAAATAAGTCATGTTCTATACACAAACAACAAACTATCTAAAAGGAAAATTAAGAAAACAATCCCATTCATAATAGTAACAAAAAGAATAAAATACTTAGGATGAACTTAAGAGGCAAAAGACTTACACACTGGAAATTATAAAATATTGATGAAGAAAATTTAAAAAGACACAGACAAATGGAAAGACATACATGGTTATGGATTGTAAGAATTAAAATTATTAAAATGTCCATACTACCCACAATAATCTACAGATTTGGTGTAATAGCTATTAAAATCCCAGTGGCATTATTTGCAAAAGTAGAAAAAAATACTAAAATTCATATGGAACCATAAAAGACCTTCAATAGCCAAAGCAATCCTTTTTTTTTTCCTCTTAGAGACAGGGTCTTGCACTGCTGCCCAGGCTGGAGTGCAGTGGCACAATCATAGCTCACTGCAGCCTCAAACTCCTGGGCTCAAGCAATCCTCCCCCCTCAGTCTCCCAAGTAGCTGGGACTACAGGCAAGTGCCACCATACCCAGGAAATTTTTTTATGTTTCAAATTTTTTTGAAGAGACAGAGTTTTGTTATGTTGCCCAAGCTGGTCTCAAACTCCTTGCCTCAAGTGATCCTCCTGTCTCAGCCTCTAAAGTGATGGGATTACTGGAGTAAGCCACTGTGCCTGGCCTCTCAAAGCAATATTGAACAAGAAGAACAAAGGGGAAGGTATCACACTTTCTGATTTAAATATATCTTACAAAGCTATAATAATCAAAACAGTATAGTAGTGGCATAAAAATAGACATATTGACCAATGGAACAGAAAGAGCCCAGAAGTATTAGTTTAGTGCAAAAGTAATTGTGGTATTCCCATTACTTTAAATTACACTAATTAACATTAAAAGTAATGGCAAAACCACAATTACTATTGCACCAACCTAACGAATCCACCCATTACCATCAACTGATCTTTAACAGTGTTCCAAGAACACACACTGGGGAAAGGATGGTCTCCTAAATAAATTATGTTGGGAAAACAGTATGTCCAACCACAGAAGAATGAAATTGAACTCAACTTATACCACATACAAAAATCAACTCAAAATGAACTAAAGACTTAAGCATAAGGCCTGAAACCATAAAACTACTAGAAGAAAACATAAGAAACAAGCTTCTTGAAATTAATTTGGATCATGATATTTTTGGATATGATACCAAAGCACAAGAAAAAAAGTAATAATATACAAGTGAGAATGCATCAAATTAAAAAGCTCATGAAGAGCAACGACAACAATCAATAGAATAAAAAGTCAACCTATAATGGGAGAAAATATTGGCAATCTATATACCTGATAAGGAATTAATATCCAAAATACATAAGAACTCATACAACTCAATAAGTAAAAAAAGAAACTCTATTAAAACTTAGGTAAAAGGTATGAATAGACAGTTCTCAACAGAAGACATAAAAATGTCCAACAGCCATATGAAAAAATGCTCAACATCACTGACCATCAGGAAAATCCAAATCAAAACCACAATGAGATATGAGCTCACACCTCTTGGAATGATTATTATCAAAAAGACAGAAATGTTGGTGAGGTTGTGAAGAAAACGGAACTCTTATACAGAATGGAACTTTTGTTGGTGGGAATGTAAACTGGTATAGCCATTGTGAAAAACAGCATGGAAGTTCCTCAGAAAGGTAAAAACAGAACTATGATTCAGCAATCCCACTTCTAGGTATCCCCCACCCCAAAAAAAATCAGTATGTTGAAGAGATATCTGCACTCTCATATTCATGGCATCATTGTTTACAATAGCTAAGACATGGAAGTAATCTAAATGTCTGTCAGTGGATGAACAGATAAAGAAAATGCGGTATAGGTACACAATAGAATACTATTCAGCCTTAAAAAAGAAAGAAATCCAGTCATTTGTGACAACAAAGATGAACCTGGAGGACATTAAGTTAAGTGAAATAAGCCAAACATAGAAAGACAACTATTGCATGATCTCACCTTGAATAGAATGAAATCTTAAATAGATGAACTCATAGAGATGAGAGTAGAATGGTGGTTGCCAGGAGCTGGTTAACAGGGGGAAATGAAGTGTTATTGGCCAGGGCATACAAAATTTTAGTTATGCAAGATGCATATGATATGGATAGCTAATGTAATTATAGTTAGTTATAATGTGCTTTAATTAACAATAATGTATTGTGTACTTGATATATGTTAAGAGTGTAGAATTAAAGTGTTCTTGATACAAAAAAGAAAGAAAAAATGGTAACTCTGTCAGGTGACAGGGATATGTTAATTAGTCTGATTGTGGTGATTATTTCACAATGTATATGTATATCAAAACTTCAAGTTGTATAATTTAAATATATAATTTTTTCGTTTTTCAATCATACCTCAATAAAGCTGGGGGGAAGAAAGAAGTAAGAGCAAATATGTAACCAACCAAGATACTGTGAGGGCAGAGATTGGGTCTGTCTTGAGCACAGTTGTACCCTAGAACTTAGCAAATTGCAATCCTCCAAAGTTCATTAGAGAAATAAATAAGAATAAAAAAGTGGCTCCAATCATTAAGTAGATAAAATGGGATTGGGTGTAAACCATAATAAGTCTCAGAGGAGTTTGGTACAAAATTTAAAAATATAGAATAGTATAGGTGCTAAAACGTGTATGTTTATAGATATAAATGTTGATATAAGGTGCGTAGACACCCATAGGCAGACCTAGAAAAGGAAAATATTTTGCTATAGCTGAAAAACATAAAACGTAAAATGTCTATATGTGTTTGCAAATCTATAGACAAGGTCAGTTGGAAGGAACCAATATAATTATAAAATAGCATTTTGAGCTATTGGCCAATGCAGAAAAACCAAATCCTATTCCACTTAGAATAATGACTCTCACTTTAAAAATAAACATGACTTAATATTGAACAAGATTCAAAGGTATTTTGTACTCTTAATTCCCCAAAATAGCAATGAGGTGAATAGTTCTGTTAAACAAATTACCATGTAGAAAATACGTCCTTTCTTTGTTCATTTAAATAGCAGGCCTATGTCACTTGTCCTAAAAAATCGGACAAGTCTCACCCATTCTGTGAGCTGCAATGAAGCAAGGAGAAAGAGGAGTGAGCTTTGAGAAAATGAAGACTTGAGGTTATGCAGAGTGAGATTGTGGACAGTGTTCTTCCTAATTTATGGAAGATGTTAAACCCAGAGTAATGCCAGCTAGAATTCAGAAGTGTTCCCTCAAGCTTGATAAACAAACAACTTTAGGGTCAGAGTAACTAAGAAGGTCTGGGAGCAATGCTAGCTGTGGTTCTAGATTGTGTTCATTTCCCACTGTTTCACAATATGGCAGATAATTCAAAACAGAATTGAATAACTGCTATGTTGCAGCTCTGTCTTTTTAAGGCTCCCCCTAAAAAAAGAGATCGACTCTAACAACGTTAAACAAAGGCTTTGCACAAAAGAAGAGTTTCCACAAATTATCAAAGTGTTTTAGGTTTTAGACTCAGAAGTACTCCAAGACTGTTAAAGGGTGATTTTAAAACACTTAAAGGCAATTCACTGTCTCAAGGACTTCAACTTTATAGTCAGGGGTAGTAAAGCAAAAATAAGAGTAAGAAAAATAATATCTAAATGAAAAAATACACTAGAATCTAAACACATCTGAACATTTTTAAGGTACTAATGTTATGAGCTACTAAGAAGCTGTATTTTCATAAACACTCTAATGGCCATCTGTTTTAGCTAACATCCATTCACCTCTTTTTACAGAACACTCTTTCTTTTAAGGGGGGCACCCATTCCTCTTAAGTTTTGCGGCTTAGGTGGGTCAGTTTTCAGGGCTTCAGCGGTGATTGATTGCAAGGTAGCCATTCTCATTGGTTACAGTGAATGATTTAGTTATGGGCACATGATAGAATCTGAGCAAGGAGACTCAGACCAGAACTTTGGTTTGATGCTGAAGAGAGACACTGTCTCTTTTCAACTGGACCTAAGCAGCAGACTCTGGTTATGTCTACAGTTACCGTTATCTTGTTACCATAATGAGATAAATGAGAAAAGAAGATCCGAGTGGGGCCCAGAGACAGAGAAACTACTTCCTCTTGATAACTGTCAAGCCTCTAGACTAAGTTATGTCTGAAGCCAGCTTGTCCTCATATTCTACAGGTAGGAAAACCACTAAATTAACTTTTGGCTTCAGTCAATACAGGCTGGGTTTTCTTTCATCTGTCTCCAACAGAATACCAACTGACCAAGAAACCCTCTTGCAAAAAGGTCAGGGGCATTAACTTTCATAACAATGCTTCAGTTTTTGGAAGAGAAGAGTCATTTTGATAACTATTACTCAGTTGTCTTCTGTGTTCTATGAAGAAATAAGTGTAAAAGAAACACCAGAAAAGGCTCACTTCACTGAAGACTGTATTTTTATTACGTATACAAAGACTATTGACTGTTTAAAGTAAAAATATTAACTACATGTAGTATAGCTTATAGTATATATTGAAGTAAAATCTATAAAAACAAGAATGCAATAGGTAAATGGAAAAATATGGAATTTTACTCTTCACTTCTTCGTCTGGCAGTGACTAAGAGAACACAGGGACTTGTTCAGGAGCACACAGTTGAAACACACCCTATACCCTCCCCAAAATAAGTCAGAGAGACTCCAAAAAGATCAGAAAGTCCACAGGTGGTAGGTAGATATGCGGGCTAGGGAAATGTCTTTGGTAGACTGCCCACATAATCCCACATTTACCGGGGTGGGGTGGCCTAAGGAGACATAGATTACACAATCTTAATTTATTTTAACTCAAATGAATATTTTTCTTTCCTTTACTCAGGAATAAGAGAAACTCCAATTCTATCACATCCTGAAGCATACAATTATTTAAACGAATCACACTATCATAGATTTGAGAGCTAAGTGGATCTCTACATATTGTGATGTAAGAAGTCAGACCATTACAAAAATAGTCTCTAAAAGAAAAATAGAATAAAAAATTGATATATCATAGTGATATATATTTTTGGAAATCCTGGGCTCAAGTAATCCTCCTGCCTCCTAGGCTGATTAGCTTTTGCCATGTCCTTGGTTATCTGAGCACAAAATGCAGCATTTATGCAGATGCACCTGTAAATTTAATGGTATCAAATATTATAAACAAATTTTGTATAATTCTTTGTTACTCGTCTTTTTTTTTGTTTGTTTTTTGAGACAGCATCTCGCTCTGTGTTCCAGGCTGCAGTGCAGTAGCACAATCATAGTTCGCTTTAGCCTTGAACTCCTGGGTTCAAATGATCCTCTCATCTCAGCCTCCTGTGTCCAACATGAACACACAAGTGCCTACATTTCCTCAAAGTTGATAATGATGCTCTGAATGTATATTTATCTCAATTCACTTGATGACAGCAAATTATCAAAGAATAATCCCTAATTCAAGTAGTTTCAAAGGTGTCTAAGTCAAAAACTGAACCTGCAAAAGAGAATACCATCCAAAAAGGAGGCATGGACATCATATAAATTCAAAGGTGAATGAGACTACCACAACTTCACTTTAAAGCTGCAGAGTGAAATGCAGTCTCGAAGTTAAAGCACCCTTAAGGCCATCTAGACTTGTGTTTCTCAAATTTGGTCTGAGAACAATGTTGGGTTGTCTGTGTGAATGTTTCTTGGAGTATCTGGTTACAAATATTACACACACAAAAACCCACCTAACCACCCACACCCACCCATCCACCACCCAGACACACACCCCACAAACTCTCTCTCTCTCTCTCTCTCATGGAATCTACCACCAGAGATTAGTACTCAGAAAGTCTTAGGTAGAGTCAAGAAACTGTGTTTCCCAAGTATCCTAGGTGACTCTGCTGCCTACAGGGTTAAAAATGATACATCTAGTACAATCTCTTAATTTGGACAGAGATACTCCTTAAAGGTATTAAAGTGCACTCAGGGAAGAGAAGTGGTAGCTTCTATTCAGCCACAGACCGTTGGAAGTTATAGCACTTGGAGGCTCTAGTCCACTGTTGTCAAGCTTCACTGGGAAGCATCAGCAGTGACTGGATAATGTCACAGCAAATGACAGTACTAGTAGCAATAGTAGCCTTAGGAGAAGCAATAGCAATGCTACCCAGAGGTGATGGCTCCCAGTATTCATGGTAACAGACAGTGGTGCCCAGTAAGAGAGGCGGTCCTAAGCAAAAAACCACTGATGCCCATTAATGTTGATGAACAACCAGAAGGAGCAACATGGTGGCAAAGTTGGCTGCCTGGACTTGCTCATGGACTTGTTAGGACACATTCATGGGTTGTTTTGGACTGTGCAAGTGTACTACATGTTTCTTTTTATTATGTTTTTAAAGTTAGTTATCTAGTGGAACTTTCTTGTTCACATTTATGATATTCCCTGATTGTCATTTTCCTAGCCTTTCCATTCTAGATAATAAGAGTCTAATTAAACATGCAAATCTATTTTATGCACTAAGCCCTTTATTAATTAATATATAATTTTACATATCATACATAATCATGCATGCAACACATGAATATAGAAACACCCCAGAAATTAGTGCTGAAGTAAAAAAATCTACTTCTAAATAAAACTAAAGGCATTTAAACCACACAACCACATACAAGATGTACAGAATAACTACACATACCTCTTTGCTCCCCTCTGTCATTCCTTCTTTCAGAAAGTACTGCTGCTAAGTAGTATTATTCATTTTTGTAATCTTTTCAGCTTATTAAACTCATTATTATTCTAGTCAATGGAGTATGTTGAGATGTATAAGCAGTTAAATATTTTGTGGTCAAATATCTTCACAGTCAAAGATAAGATAATAATAGAATTTCATTTCTTATTCACTCAGAATCTCCTTGAACTATCATAATGATTAACAACCTCAAATGATGAGAAATTTGATGACTGTGGGTCCATAAAGCTACCAAAGACTCAGTCCCTTTAAAACTGCATTGAAAACAAGTTTGTTCTTCACACCCATTTTCAAGTAGCAGAATTAGGAGAAACATCAATAATTAATCTAAATGCATAAAATCAGGCCTTGGAAATTTCTTTACATTTTACTGCAGCACCTAATATTTGCAAATACATTGTTCAGTAACACATTTATACTCTCTTTCAGTGCATAACAATAGAAGTTTAAAATCCCCACAAAAAAGTAGCATTTTAGCCTCTCCATGTGACTCCCGAAAAGCACACTCATCGGCATGGCACATGTATACATATGTAACTAACCTGCACATTGTGCACATGTACCCTAAAACTTAAAGTATAATAATAAAAAAATAAAAATTAAAAAATTTAAAAAATAAAAAAATAGGAAGAAAAAAATCCTCTAGCAGTGTAATTGGAACAGTTAAATTATGATTGAAATAAAAAAGAACAGATGAAGAATAACAAATCAACACATGCTATTTTAATTATCTGTGGGTACAAAATACATAGGATCCAGAACTCTATCTTATGGCATACTGCATTTCTTTTATAAAAGCCTGGTATTATAGACATCATCTGGCCCAATTATCTTATGCTGTAGGAGTAAAGAACAAATCTTAAAAAGTGACAATATAATTTTTTAAAGCTCTTAACAATAATTGCAAAAATAAAAGGCAAATAAATGAGAAAATGTATAATAAAATCTCTTAGTTTAATAACTGTGGAGGATAACTGTTTAGATATATATGTATCTCAGCCTGGCCCAGACCTACAAAATCACCCCCTTCTCCCCATTTAAATCTTGTCTTAAAGGTCTTCCCAGAAAACCTTTCCCTGACCACCTTCTCTAAGGCAGTCCTATCCAGGACATTCCCTTTATAGATTTATTAAAATCTGAAATTATCTTGTTTATTGTTGGTTTGTTTCCTTTTTAACCTTAATAATATCATTTCCTCTCTTCACTCTACTAGAATTTACGCTCCATGTGAACAGGACCTTCATCTGAACTGCCCGTAGCTCTGTCCCCAGGACATGATCCTAATGTGAGTTGAAGCAGTGGACACTTAACCAACATGATGGGAAGAAATTATTGAGAGCCAAAAATCCTACTACACACAGGTATCTTCTCAAATTATTTCAGTGAATTCCCATATTCTCTGAAGCCAAATCAAGGACCTCAGGCTGAGGGCCATGATAGTGAGTGTCTATATACCACCTGGCCCTCAGTAAATACTCTACAAACCTGAGCAAATGAATGAACAAATGAATAAATGGTGGAATCCAGACCTTGTAAAGATTGTGTAAGGCTATGTAAATAGGGCCAGGCGCAGTGGCTTATACGTGTAATACCAGCACTTTGGGAGTCCAAGGTAGGAAGACCACTTGAGACAAGGAGTTCAAAACCAGCCTGGGCAACAGAAAAAATCCCATCTCTACAAAAAATATTAAAGTTAGCAAAGCGTGGTGGCATATGCCTGTAGACACAGCTACTTGGGAGGCTGAGGTGGGAGGATCACTTTAAACCCGAAAAGTCAAGGCTCCAGTGAGTCATGATTATGCCACTGAACTCCAGCCTGGGCGACAGAGTGAGACCCTGTCTCAACAAGACAAAACAATACAAACAAAAGAAAACACTATGGCTTTGAACAATCTCTCTCTGTATCTTACTGAACTGAACCACATTCTTAGCTCTCAGCTAGATAGGAGGAATAAGTTCTAGTGTTCTATACCACTGTAGGATTATAGTCAACAATAATATATTATGTAGTTTCAAATAGCTAAAGGGGGATGTTGAATGTTCCCAGGACAAAGAAATGACAAATGTTTGAAATGATGAATATACTAACTACAGTTATCTGATCATTTACCTCATAAATAAGTACAATTATAATAACTGTATATGTCAGTTAAAAATTTAAGTTAAATTAAATTATAAAATAAGTCAAAGAGTGAACATACAGCTAAGAGAGGAAAAGCAATAAAGAGAGGAAATTCAAGTTAGAATATATAATATTTTCTAAAGGAACAAAAACAAAAAGTGGTGCAAGAAATAAATGTTATAAGAAGGGAAAAGGTATAAAATGGAAAAGAAAAAGGGACGATTCATAGTCAGGGATGTTGTGATGGGAAGTCAATCATACATAATTGTCCATGCTGTACTCACTTTCTTTGCCAAAACCACATTATTGTAAACATGAAAGGATGCCTTTGAAAGATTCCTGCTGGGCCAGGTGCAGTGGCTCATGTCCGTAATCCCAGCACTTTGGGAGGCCGAGGCAGGCAGATTACCTGAGGCCGGGAGTTCAAGACCAGCTTGGCCAACATGGCAAAACCCCATTGCTACTAAAAATACAAAAATTAACCAGGCATGGTGGGGCAGGCCTGTAATCCCAGCTACTCGGGTGGCTGAGATCCAAGAATTGCTTGAAACTGGGAGGCAGAGGTTGCAGTGAGCCAAGATTGCACCACTGCACTCCAGTCTGGATGACAGAGCAAGACTCCATCTCAAAATAAATAAATAAATAATAAATAAATAAAGGCACCTGCTGTCCCTACCTCACAAGCCCCATTAACTCATTTCCAGTGGGTCTGGGTCCTTAGGTTCCTCCTAGAATTACGGCTGCACCTGCTTCATTTGCTGTGCCTGTTTCATGAACAGTTACTGTCAGTTTCATAAGCGGGGGACGGCTTCAGAACTCTTCACCTCTGTGCATATCACTTTGCCTCAGCCCTTTCATCTCCCACTATTTGTACTGCTAGTGGTAACTTTTCTAACATGTAAACCAATACACTCCCCATCCTCTCATTTGTCCCCTTAGTCTCCTACAATTTTGTCCTAGTCTTCCCTTCTCAGAATCTCAGTTCCTAGAGCTTATTGGTCTCACTCATTGCAGGACAGAATCAAGTCGTCTCCTACAACCTACACATTACCCTCTCTTGTCTAAAGGAAAATATACTGTTTTAACAGATCATGTTGCTTTTGCCTGTGGGCGATATCTTCTTAGAGATAAAGCACCTGTGCAAAGGTCCTGAATAAAATATTGAAGCCAAAGTCATAAAATTTGTATTAATGAGGGCTGAGCCAATTTTTAGCTTCATTTTTCACTAAAAAGAAGAGAAACAGAAAAAAGTTGTGAACCTAAGTAAACATACTATATGAATTCTACTGCTTCTTGTGCTAAAAAACAATAATGTTTTATAGTATAGGGAAAACATTTATTGAAAGAATACATCCTTCAACTAGAAACCCATTGTTCAGTGCAATGAAAACTTAGGAAATGTCTAACAAAATAAGACTTTTAAAAAAAACCATCATTCTCAGTAAACTATCGCAAGAACAAAAAACCAAACACCGCATATTCTCACTCATAGGTGGGAATTGAACAATGAGATCACATGGTCACAGGAAGGGGAATATACACTCTGGGGACTGTGGTGGGGTGGGGGGAGGGCGGGAGGGGTAGCATTGGGAGATATACCTAATGCTAGATGACGAGTTAGTGGGTGCAGCGCACCAGCATGGCACATGTATACATATGTAACTAACCTGCACAATGTGCACATGTACCCTAAAACTTAAAGTATAATAAAAAAAAAAAGAATAGCTTAAAAAAAAAAAAAAAAAAAAAAGTACCCACAACACTGGAGCCACACCCAGAACACAATATAAGGCATTATTTTATCTATCTCAGATATTCAACTGCATGGTTACAAAAAATATATATATAAACATGGCCCTGCAGCATGAACTCTGTGGACAGAAAACCTAGTAAGCCTGCAGTTTAAGTAAGGAAATTGTTGGGATAGAAGTAAGATATTGATTTGTATTTTTGCTTCCAAGCTAACAGTAATAACCTTTACAAAACACCTTTAAAAATGCATAAGCACTATAGACTTTTTTATTTGCAGGAAGTGTCTTCAAACATATCCTTTAATAACAAAAAATATAAAGCATTGACAATACATGTATTAGAAAGAATTTTCTTGAAATACATTTGCAAAACAGAACAAACCTATTTTAATAATTTGCAAATCAGTGTAACGTAGAGGAAAATCGGCCCTGAGTTTTAGCTTGGGCCATGTCAAGTACTAGTTTTGTGTCCTTGGGCTAGTTATGTAACCATTCTGAGCCTCAGCTTCCTAGTACGTAAAGTGGGGCTAATAATAATGTCTTTACAATGTGGCTGTTGGAGGACTCATCCCTGTAGATATGCAATAAATACTAGTTCCCTTTATGAGCCACAAATATGTCTTTTTTCTTTTAAGGCTTTTCTTGCTTTACAAAAAATAATGTTATTTCATATACTTTTCACCGGATTTTATTTTGTAGCCCTTGATTTAATGTGAGCAATTTGAAAAATTCTCCTTGTTTCTTGCTACCTGGAATAGAAACTTTATAAATATTTTATTTCCAAATTCTTCATATTATAGTCCAGCATCACAGTCAAATCTCTTTCTTCATGTCTCAGTATTTTTATATATGTATAGCAGACAGTTCTGTTTACAGATAAACTACATTCTAAACTATGTTTGTAAATTGGTTGATTAGAAGCAAGAATTCACTTCTTTATTGACTACTTAAAATCAGTTAGATTCACATTTATAGCATAAATATTTACTGATAAAATTGGGTTTTAGCCTGGAGTTGGGGTCTCGAGTGGATGGTGCAAGAGTGGTTCATAACAGAGTGTGGTAAATCAGTTTTATCAACTCTTTGATTTCACTTAGCTATAACACAATTTTAAAGTAGCTGGTTTATTCTTTGCATAATTTTTTCTTTATTTGTGGACACCATCAAGATCTTTCATGATTCCCAGTGTACTTCAGTGTAAGATACTCTCAGTGTCTTCTCCACTACCTCTTCAACTGAGGTACCCCCTCCAGTCTTGTCCCACCACCCTAAAGGCTCAATAGTCTCAAACTAGCAATCTTTAATTTACTCACACACATACTCACTGCCTTACTGCCATTGATCTCAGTGAAATTGATTAAAAGCACAAAAAAATATAATGGCCCAATAGCTCTAGGACACATGTTTTACTGCTTTCAAATAGTATGCCTGCTCAGCTAAAGTAATTATCTAGTTATCTATTCTAGATAACTAGCTAAAGTAGTTATCTAGAATTGCAGGCAATGTAACACAAGAGAAGGGATTTTTTTCCTTATTGGGAAAAACATTTCCAAGTAACTAGTAGGCTTTTTTTCATCTCACAGCAGGTAAGCCTTGCCTAGGAATCTATCTCCCTAAGGTTAGTTTTTGTTTTTGTTTTTTTTTCCTTATAGTTTCTATGCTTCTCCACGATTTTCCTTGTTTCTTAATAACATCTCCTAAAGTGGCAGTAGCAATGGTTCTGGCAATTGGAACTTTTTGTTTGCTTTTGGGGGACAGAGATATAGAAATGTTGAACAGGGCATGAGAAGCTGTTTATAATATGGGTCATGTGTAAGTAAAAAGATTTTGGTTTTTCTCTTTGCTAAGAGAGAAGGTGCATCTGTCCTCATAATTCAGCCATAAAGCAAATAAAGGGAGAAATTCTTGGGTTTAAAAGTTTAGTCAGCCCAAACCTCAACATCAATCACACAACATACCCATGTAACAAACCTGCACATGTACCCCCCAAATCTAAAATAAAAGTTGATATTATAAACATAAATAAATAAAAATTCAAAAAAGTTTAATCAGCAAGATGGGTACCCTGGGTAGTTTTTTTTTGTATAATTTGTAAAACTAATGCACTTTATACTCATACAAAATCTGAAAGTAATCAAGTGAAACTTGTGAAATGTGAACGCTGTTTCCATTGGGAAATATTTAGTAAAAGGATATAAACTAGTTTTTAAAATTTGCAGTGTCAAGTAAATTTTGCTGTTTAAAACTTCTGTATTATTTAAAAGGTCTCCCATGGAACAAACTATAGATTCCCAGCATTTAAACAGACAGTGAATGCCTTTTGTCTCCAGTTGTTTGCTTTCCTTCGTGAACTCCTCTCCCTGGTTCTTAAATGTTGATGATTTTCAGGACTCAGTAATTATCCCAATTCTCACACCACAAATTCTGTAAGCATTGTTGCTTACTCCTGAGACTTCAGTTCTCATTATATGCTGGTGACTCTACATCTCTCTCTCTATATATATATATAACCAAAATGTTTCTTGAGCTTCAGACATGTATAGCTAAGAGCCTTCTAGATGTGTCTCACAGAATTTCAGGCTCAATGGGACAAAATTCTGTCTTCCTCATTAAGCCATATTCCTGTCATATTTTCTACTCTGTTGAACTTAACCAACATCTATTCCAAGCTCAAAAAACTGGAAACTTAAGGAACATCCTACCTGTTTTACTCTCTTTGTCCTCCAACGTCAAAGCATGTCAGGTTTGCATCTTCACATTGCCTCAGTTTTTATGAGCCTCCAGTTCAAAGTGTTGGCATTGCATCACTTTACACTCTGCTTACTAACATTTAGAAGAATAGTTTGCAACTAGCCATACATTAGAAATTATCTGGGGAGATTGTTAAACATATTAATACCCCAGCACCACTATGAAAAATGCTGATTTCATTAGTCTGAGATGGGCTCAGGGATAGAGAGTGCTTATAAAGTTTCACAGGTGACTCTAATGAGCAGAGAATCACTGCTTTTGAAGCTACCCCCTTCCCTCAGGAGAAAGCCCAAGTTTAGTTTCCAAATTAAGAAGCCCCTTCACAATCTGGTCCATAACATTTCTGCAGCATCCCTGCTTGTCACTGCCCCTACCCCTTACCATGGAGGCCCTAAATGATAGGCCATAAGAAAATTTCATCTTCTAACAGACAGGGACACTTAAGTCTGCAGAGGTTTCTGCTGCCTTTTGTTTGGCTATGCCCCGCCCCCAGAGGTGGAGTCTACAGAGGAAGGCAGGCCTCCTTGAGCTGCAGTGGGCTCCACCCAGTTCGAGCTTCCAGGCCGCTTTGTTTACCTACTCAAGCCTGAGCAATGGCGGGCACCCCTCCCCCAGCCTTGCAGTTCCATCTCAGACTGCTGTGCTAGCAATGAGCGAGGCTCTGTGGGCATGGGACCCTCTGAGCCAGGTGCAGGATATAATCTCCTCCTGTGCCATTTGCTAAGACCCTTGAGAGAGTAGTGGTTCTCCCAGTATGGAGTTTGATATCTGAGAATGGACAGACTGCCTCCTCAACTGGGTCCCTGACCCCCTAGTAGCCTAACTGGGAGGCACCCCCCAGTAGGGGCAGACTGATACCTCACATGGCCAGGTACCCCTCTGAGATGAAGCTTCCAGAGGAACGATCAGGCAGCAACATTTGCTGTTCACCAATATCCGCTGTTCTGCAGCCTCTGCTGCTGATACCCAGGCAAACAGGGTCGGAGTGGACGTCCAGCAAACTCCAACAGACCTGCAGCTGAGGGTCCTGACTGTTAGAAGGAAAACTAACAAACAGAAAGGACATCCACACCAAAACCCCATCTGTACGTCACAATCATCAAAGAGCAAAAGTAGATAAAACAACAAAGATGGGGGAAAAACAGCAGAAAAGCTGAAAATTCTAAAAATCAGAGCACCTCTCCCCCTCCAAAGGAAGGCAGCTCCTCGCCAGCAATGGAACAATGCTGGATGGAGAATGACTTTAACTAGGTGAGATTAGAAGGCTTCAGATGATCAAACTTCTCTGAGCTAAAGGAGGAAGTTCGAACCCATCGCAAAGAAGCTAAAAACCTTGAAAAAAGATTAGAAGAATGGCTAACTAGAATAACCAGTGTAGAGAAGTCCTTAAATGACCTGATGCAGCTGAAAACCATGGCACAAGAACTACTTGACGAATGCACAAGTTTCAGTAGCCAATTGGATCAACTGGAAGAAAGGGTATCAGTGATGGAAGATCAAATGAATGAAATGAAGCGAGAAGTTTAGAGAAAAAAGAGTAAAAAGAAATGAACAAAGCCTCCAAGAAATATGGGACTATGTGAAAAGACCAAACCTACATCTGATTGGTGTACCTGAAAGTGACGGGCAGAATGGAACCAAGTTGGAAAACAGTCTGCAGGATATTATCCAGGAGAACTTCCCCAACCTAGCAAGGCAGGCCAACATTCAAATTCAGGAAATACAGAGAATGCCACAAAGATACTCCTCAAGAAGAGCAACTCCAAGACACATAATTGTCAGATTCACCAAAGTTGAAATGAAGGAAAAAATGTTAAGGGCAGCCAGAGAGAAAGGTCAGGTTACCCACGAAGGGAAGCCCATCAGACTAAAAGCAGAACTCTCAGCAGAAACTCTACAAGCCAGTAGAGAGTGGGGGCCAATATTCAACATTCTTAAAAGAATTTTCAACCCAGAATTTCATATCCAGCCAAACTAAGCTTCATAAGTGAAGGAGAAATAAAATCCTTTACAGACAAGCAAATGCTGAGAGATTCTGTCACCACCAGGCCTGCCCTACAAGAGCTCCTGAAGGAAGCACTAAACATGGAAAGAAACAACCAGTACCAGCCACTGCAAAAGCATGCCAAACTGTAAAGGCCATCGATGCTAGGAAGAAACTGCATCAACTAACGAGCAAAATAACCAGCTAACATCATAATGACAGGATCAAATTCACACATAACAATATTAAACTTAAATGTAAATGGGCTAAATGCTCCAATTAAAAGACACAGACTGGCAAATTGGATAAAGAGTCAAGACCCATCAGTGTGCTGTATTCAGGAGACGCATCTCAAATGCAGAGACACACATAGGCTCAAAATAAAGGGATGGAGGAAGATCTACCCAGCAAATGGAAAACAAAGGCAGGGGTTGCAATCCTAGTCTCTGATAAAACAGACTGTAAACCAACAAAGATCAAAAGAGACAAAGAAGGCCATTACATAATGGTAAAGGAATCAATTCAATAAGAAGAGCTAACTATCCTAAATATATATGCACCCAATACAGGGGCACCCAGATTCATAAAGCAAGTCCTTAGAGACCTACAAAGAGACTTAGACTCCCACACAATAATAATGGGAGACTTTAACACCCCACTGTCAACATTAGACAGATCCACAAGACAGAAAGTTAACAAGGATATCCAGGAATTCTAAGCATCACATCACACTTATTCCAAAATTGACCACATAATTGGAAATAAAGCAGTCCTCAGTAAATGAAAAAGAACAGAAATTATAACAAACTGTCTCTCAGACCACAGTGCAATCAAACTAGAACTCAGGATTAAGAAACTCACTCAAAACCTCTCAACTACATGGAAACTGAACAACCTGCTTCTGAATGACTATTGGGTACATAACAAAATGAAGGCAGAAATAAAGATGTTCTTTGAGGCCAATGAGAACAAAGACACAACATACCAGAATCTCTGGGGCACATTTAAA
The DNA here is from genome assembly GCF_000001405.40 of Homo sapiens. Taxonomy (NCBI): domain Eukaryota; kingdom Metazoa; phylum Chordata; class Mammalia; order Primates; family Hominidae; genus Homo; species Homo sapiens. Next base: position 51,279,120 of record NC_000010.11, on the reverse strand, counting down.
GCAGTGTGTAGAGGGAAACTTATAGCACTAAATGTCCATAAAAGAAAGCAGGAAAGATCTAAAATTGACACCCTAACATTGCAATTAAAAGAACTAGAGAAGCAAGAGCAAACACATTCAAAAGCTAGCAGAAGGCAAGAAATAACTAAGATCAGAGCAGAAATGAAGGAAATAGAGACACAAAAAACCCTTCAAAAAAATCAATGAATCCAGGAGCTGGTTTTTTGAAAAGATCAATAAAATTGATTGACCGCTAGCAATACTAATAAAGAAGAAAAGAGAGAAGAATCAAATAGACGCAATAAAAAATGATAAAGGGGATATCACCACTGATCCCACAGAAATACAAACTACCATCAGAGAATACTATAAACACCTCTATGCAAATAAACTAGAAAATCTAGAAGAAACGGATAAATTCCTGGACACATACACCCTCCCAAGACTAAACCAGGAAGAAGTTGAATCCCTGAATAGACCAATAACAGGTCTGAAATTGAGGCAATAGTTAATAGCCTACCAACCAAAAAAAGTCCAGGACCAGATGGATTCACAGCCGAATTCTACCAGAGGTACAAGGAGGAGCTGGTACCATTCCTTCTGAAACTATTCTAATCAATAGAAAAAGAGGGAATCCTCCCAAACTCATTTTATGAGGCCAGCATCATCCTAATACCAAAGCCTAGCAGAGACACAACAAAAAAAGAGAATTTTAGACCAATATCCCTGATGAACACTGATGCAAAAATCCTCAACAGAATACGGGCAAACTGAATCCAGCAACACATCAAAAAGCTTATCCAACATGATCAAGTGGGCTTCATCCCTGGGATGCAAGGCTGGTTCAACATACGAAAATCGATAAACGTAATCCAACATACAAACAGAACCAACGACAAAAACCACATGATTATCTCAATAGATGCAGAAAAGGCCTTTGACAAAATTCAACAGCCCTTCATGCTAAAAACTCTCAATAAATTAGGTATTGATGGGACGTATCTCCAAATGATAAGAGCTATTTATGACAAACCCACAGCCAATATCATAATGAATGGGCAAAAACTGGAAGCATTCCCTTTGAAAACTGGCACAAGACAGGGATGCCCTCTCTCACCACTCCTATTCAACATAGTGTTGGAAGTTCTAGCCAGGGCAATCAGGCAGGAGAAAGAAAGAAAGGGTATTCAATTAGGAAAAGAGGAAGTCAAATTGTCCCTGTTTGCAGATGACATGATTGTATATTTAGAAAACCCCATCATCTCAGCCCAAAATCTCCTTAAGCTGATAAGCAACTTCAGCAAAGTCTCAGGATACAAAATCAATGTGCAAAAATCACAAGCATTGCTATACACCAATAACAGGCAGAGAGCCAAATCTTGAGTGAACTCCCATTCACAATTGCTTCAAAGAGAATAAAATACCTAGGAATCCAACTTACAAGGGATGTGAAGGACCTCTTCAAGGAGAACTACAAACCACTGCTCAATAAAAGAGGACACAAACAAATGGAAGAACATTCCATGCTCATGGATAGGAAGAATCAATATTGTGAAAATGGCCATACCGTCCAAGGTAATTTATAGATTCAATGCCATTCCCATCAAGCTACGAAAGACTTTCTTCACAGAATTGGAAAAAACTACTTTAAAGTTCATATGGAACCAAAAAAGAGCCCACATTGCCAAGACAATCCTAAGCCAAAAGAACAAAGCCGGAGGGATCATGCTACCTGACTTCAAACTATACTACAAGGCTACAGTAACCAAAACAGCATGGTACTGGTACCAAAACAGAGCTATAGACCAATGGAACAGAACACAGCCCTCAGAAATAATACCACACATCTACAACCATCTGATCTTTGACAAACCTGACAAAAACAAGAAATGGGGAAAGGATTGCCTATTTAATAAATGGTACTGGGAAAACTGGCTACCCATATACAGAAAGCTGAAACTGGATCCCTACCTTACACCTTATACAAAAATTAATTCAATATGGATTAAAGACTTAAACGTTAGACCTAAAACCATAAAAACCCTAGAAGAAAACTTAGTCAATACCATTCAGGACATAGGCATGGGCAAGAACTTCATGTCTAAAACACCAAAAGCAATGGCAACAAAAGCCAAAAATGACAAATGGGATCTAATTAAACTAAGGAGCTTCTGCACAGCAAAAGAAACTACCATCAGAGTGAACAGGCAACCTACAGAATGGGAGAAAATTTTTGTGATCTGCTCATCTGACAAAGGGCTAATATCCAGAATCTACAATGAAATCAAACAAATTTACGAGAAAAAAACAACCCCATCAAAAAGTGGGCGAAGGATATGAACAGACACTTCTCAAAAGAAGACATTTATGCAGTCGACAGACACATGAAAAAATGCTCATCATCACTGGTCATCAGAGAAATGCAAATCAAAACCACAGTGAGATACCATCTCACACCAGTTAGAATGGCAATCATTAAAAAGTCAGGAAACAACAGGTGCTGGAGAGGATGTGGAGAAATAGGAACACTTTTACACTGTTGGTGGGACTGTAAACTAGTTCAACCATTGTGGAAGACAGTGTGGTGATTCCTCAAGGATCTAGAACTAGAAATACCATTTGACCCAGCCATCCCATTACTGGGTATATACCCAAAGGATTATAAGTCATGCTGCTATAAAGACACATGCACATGTATGTTTATTGCGGCACTATTCACAATAGTAAAGACTTGGAACCAACCCAAATGTCCAACAATGATGGACTGTATTAAGAAAATGCGGCACATATACACCATGGAATACTATGCAGCCATAAAAAAGGATGAGTTCGTGTCCTTTGTAGGGACATGGATGAAGCTGCAAACCATCATTCTCAGCAAACTATCACAAGGACGAAAAACCAAACACCGCATTTTCTCACTCATAGGTGGGAATTGTACAATGAGAATGCTTGGACACAGGAAGGGGAACATCACACACTGGGGCCTGTCGTGGGGTTGGGGGAGAGGGGAGGGATAGCATTAAGAGATATACCTAATATAAATGATGAGTTAGTGGGTGCAGCACACCAACATGGCACATGTATACATATGTAACAAACCTGCACGTTGTGCACATGTACCCTAGAACTTAAAGTGCAATAAAAAAAAAAAAAGAAAATTTCATCTTCTTTGCTTTAGGCTTTTTTCTTCTTCCCGTAATACCTTTGTTATATGCTGCTTCCTCTGATTAAAATATTCTTTCTTTCCTTTCTGGGCCACTTTTACTTGCCTTTTCTTTAGCAACAAGAAGCCTTTCCTGATATATCCCAGTCAACCCAAGATAGAGTAACGTCTTGCCTACAGTGTCACAGGTCTCTTTTTTGGGGGCCATTTGTCACTCTGGTTGTTTTTGAAAGTTTACTTCTCTAAGATTGTATATACAGGGAATGTACCTTTTTCTTGTCTCATCAGCTCCTGCCACAGCAGCTTATTGATATGTGCTCGTTAAGTGAAATTCACAGGAACCTATAAAATTAAATTATATTCTTAAACTGAATTTAATTTAGAAATAAACATATTTGTATCATGTCAATGCATTTATAGCACTTTCAAACTTGACTTACCAGCCTTAAACGCACTCCCTTTGCACCCAACTCACCACGCTATGAGGAAATACATTATGAAATGATGTGCAAAGACATTTTCCAAAGAAAAATTAGGATTTTCCCAATTTCACTGCTTTCAGTTGAAATCATTTTTAATAGAAAAAAGTTTTATGAACAAAAGAAGTGTGATTTACCAGTATATTAGTGACATAAAGATCATTTTCACATTCTGGCTTTTATCTTGAACTCTAAACTGCATAGGCAATTAAAATTATAACACATAAGAGCTGGGAAAGATGATGGTAGACAATAAAGACAACTTTATAATGTGGGAAAAAACATAGGACTTTATTTTGACAAGTGTGGTCCTCAGATAAATAAGGATGTCATGTCCAATACTTTACCCTTTCCACTCTTAGAGAACCTCAAATTCCAGGCCACTGGCTATCGAATTTAATTTCAATTTTCCTGTTAGAAAGACTGAGTCATTCACGGCACTTTAAGGCCTAATAATGACAATAACACCATTGCAATAGCAGCAAAGCAAGAGTAGCCACCACTTGCTGAAAGCCTCCAGGAAGCAGGTATGGTGGAGTTTCAACTCTCACAGCATTGCTTGTTGTGGCAGAGACAACTATCCATCCTCCATGTGTTTGTACTCCCCTGTCCATAGAGAGGGACTATACTGCCCACTTTTTTGCAGTTAAGTATGAGTGAAATAAAGTGCAACTCTTCCAAACTTGACCCATAATAATTTCTCACATAATTTTTCTCCATTGTCTGTTTCCCTTTAGGAACTAGGAATGGATTTTTAACTTTTTAAGATGTGTTGTAAGATGGCATCAGCCACTGCATGAAGAAGAGCAGCCCTGCTCTGTCTTCAAACACTCACCACTCTAACAGGATCGATCAATAACTTTCTATAGTGTTGAGCACGGTCATTTTGGGATTTATGCCCTATTGGAGCTAGCATTACTCTATTTACTACTTTGTAAAACACTGTCATCCCAATTTCATGGCTGGGGAAACTAAGGCTCAGAGAGAATGACTAGGAGATACAATGTTTCAATTGCACTTAGAACAATTATTACTTGATTCTTCTCATTTTCATTTCAGGGCAATTTTTTAGTGTGCAGTAATCAAACTTCAGCGGAATCCAAATCAAAGCCAAATTGCAACTTTCAGTGGACATGAAAGTTATAAGGTGATATATAACAAGTTCTCAGAAGTCTACAGGATCTAGGAAAGGAAAGAACAGCAATGGTTTTCAAGGATGACCATAGTGTTTTATCATTGAAAGTGGTGATTACTTTGAGGTAGTAGTTCCAAAGCAAATTTTCAAAGTTAACAGCAGCAAATACTCTCACTTCAATATAAATAGCCAGAAAAAAAATTATGACACCAGGAAGGTGTCATAAATATTCACTGAGCATTTAATATGAGGAGGACATAAATTTGGGCTCTACATGAATGGTATTTTATTTAAAGCTCACAACAAACTTGGGAAGAAACCTGCATTATTAATAGATGCAAATGCCAAAGCTCATGGAGGCTTGGAGATTTGTACACATTCCATCTTTGGAAAAGAGAGGATCTGGGATTTAACGTAGATCTAACCTGCGCAGGCGCCTCATGCTGTCTACTCAGGAAACTAATGCTTATATCCTGAGATCCGGTGCCGAAAGCATAAGGTGGGTGGTATAAACATCCAAAGCAGCCAGATGGGGAACTGTGGTGTATGAAAGTGTACAGGATTCATCTGATGAGGAAGTTCCAGTTTCTCTTCCCCAGCCAGATATTGTCATGTAGAAATGTGGGCCAAGGGTTGCCACACTCTGCAAATTTTAGAAGTTAGAAATCTGTCTTCTTATGTGAGATGTCCCAGTGTTTAAATGTTGGCAACTAGTTACATTTGACTGAGCTGGCCACTGAGCCCATCTTTGAGCTGGACTAGGTTTAAAAACTGCCAGATTACTGCTTCTGATTTTATTTTATTATTTATTTATTTAGAGACAGGGTCTCTCTCTGTCACCCAGGTGGGAACCCAGTGGCGCGATCATGGCTCACTGTAGCCTCGACCTCCTGGACTCCAGCGATCCTCCCACCTCTCAGCCTCTCAGGTAGCTGGGACTACAGGTGCATGCCACCACAACAAGCTAATTTTTGCCTTTTTTTTTTTTTTTTGGAAGAGATGGAGTTTTGTCATGTTGCCCAGGTTAATCTCAAATTCCTGGGCTCCAGCAATCCTCCTTCCTCAGCTTTCCAAAGGGCTGGGTTTACAGGTATGAGCCACGATGCCTAGCCTTCTGATTTTGATGGTCATTCATATCAAATTTGGCTGTTCTGCAGGAAGAAAGATAGCAGGGATTTCATGCAACACTTCTACAAACATCAAATGTGAACTCTTAATGCTTAAGAAGACTCCATGCCCAGTGATGCAGAGGCAAGGGCACTTTTTTGATACAACAAAAAATATATAAATTCAACTTTATGTCTGTCAATGGAAAAAGTGAATAGTAGTTGTGTACTTCCTGCCTGACTCTTCTAACACTACAGGCTAATTTTGATATGGCTACTTTCAGCTTAGAAGAGGGTGAACTTAGGATTCTAATACAAGCCATGACAGTATTATTATATTATTGCAGTTGGGCTCAGAGCAAAGCCAAGACTTCTGGTTCATTCTCAGATGGATCCTATTTATGCTAAGCTAGCCTTATTAAAAGGGAGGAGATTCCCCAGGGAGACACTGGAAACAATCCCAGCTAATTAAAATATGGATCACCCGCACAGAGGCTGGGCTGCATCCTTTGAGATTTCCAAGACTAAGACAAATTTCCTGACCATGCTGCTGCAGATGTTCACCCAGCTGGGAAAAGGCCAAGGAGCCCTAGAACATAAAGCATGCAACCATTTGTCCTGTTCACTTCTCATCCTCCCTTTCTACTAATTTTTGACTCTAACTACATTTCTTTATAACCTTAAAGTGGAGAAGAGCCTCTGGCTAACCCAAACTACTTAAAAAAAAAAACAAAACTTTAAGTTCTGGGATACATGTGCAGAATGTGCAGGTTTGTTACATAGGTATACACATGCCATGGTGGCTTGCTGCACCCATCAACCCATCATCTACATTAGGCATTTCTCCTAATGCTATCCCTCCCCTAGCCCCCCACCCCACGATAAGCCCAGTGTGTGATGTTCCCCTCCCTGTGTCCACGTGTTCTCATTGTTCAACATGAATGAGAACATGTGGTGTTTGGTTTTCAACAACCCCATCAAAAAGTGGGCAAAGGAAATGAACAGACACTTTTCAAAAGAAGACATTTATGCAGCCAACAAACATATGAAAAAAAGCTAATCATCACTGGTCATTAGAGAAATGCAAATCAAAACCACAATGAGATACCATTTCACACCAGTTAGAATGGAGATCATTAAAAAGTCAGGAAACAACAGATACTGGAGAAGATGTGGAGAAATAGGAACCCTTTTACACTGTTCGTGGGAGTGTAAATTTGTTCAACCATTGTGGAGGACAGTGTGGCCATTCTTCAAGGATCTAGAATCAGATATACCATTTGACCCAGCAATCCCATTACTGGGTATACACCCAAAGAATTATAAATCATTCTACTATAAAGACACATGCACATGTATGTTTATTACAGCACTATTCACAATAGCAAAGACTTGTAACCAACCCAAATGCCCATCAGTGATAGACTGGATAAAGAAAATGTGGTACATATACACCATGGAATACTATGCAGCCATAAAAAGGGTGAGTTCATGCCCTTTGCAGGGACATGGATGAAGCTGGAAACCATCATTCTCAGCAAACTAACCCAGACTACTTTAAGGAAGTATGCAGAAGAACACATGAAAGTAATATTCAGATTTTCCCAATCACATTAGACCATAGATTTAAAATATTTTGAAAATATTCTGTGAGAGTAAAAGCCATCTAGATCTGAAAACCCCATTTAAAGTTAATCACTTTAAATTACTTTAAAGGCTCAGTGTCTAAGTGATACATCTTATATCCATAATATTACTAATATAAGCACATCTCAATTTATAGGACAAAACTTTTTGCAAAGTTTGTCACAAAGAGATTTTCCGTAAGCAAACCCAATTTCCCTTTGGATTTTGTTATACAATTAGAGCTCTGTATCCATGGGAAACTAGATGAAACAGATGGAACTAAACACTTTTGGCAAGGAAAGAATTTAGATGATGACCAGGCTGAAAAGAATTGTAAAAAAAAAAAAAATCATATTTCTTCTTCAATAGGATAAAATAGCCAATAAGCGAACTTTTTTACTCCCCCCCAACCATCTAGTCATATATAGCTTCTCTTCATACCACAGACATTTATTACAAGTGTAGACATTCCTTTCTTCACAGCTGTATGGCCACATAGGAGATGTAGGTCCTCAGCTCTTGGATGATCCTAAAGCTATTGGATGATCCTAAATGAGTTGAATGACTCAAGGTTTTAGATTTCTCACTGACAAAACAATTAGGTTAAGAAGGAGGATCTCTAAAATCTTTGCAAAGCCAATAATTCTCAGATCTAAGTAGTCATTAGAATGTGCTCTCCTTTTTCTGCCTGTTATATAATGTTTGATAGAATTGGATCAATAAACTATCACATTTTTCTGCTGCTTGTAACTTCCTAGTCTAGATTCCCTTATATTTTCCCTCAAAAGAGGCAACTCGGTTTTCTCAGTTTCATGACAACTAGGGAGTGGAGGGTTGTGGACACCAACCAAATTGACAAAGGAGTGGAATTGGTGCAGATCGGATGGGAAGCTCACAAGTCATGGAAAGGGTTGATTTTTATCAGTTATTTTTAAAAAACTGATTTTTTTCTGAGAGAAAAGCATACAACAGTGAAAACCAGAAAGATTTAAATCCTGCTTGCATGAATCTTTGTGATCTACTCACAGTTTCCAATCTGTTGAGTGATCCAGGAGTAACTCACTATATGATCCACCCATTAAATCCCTCCAATTCATGTTATGAACTTGATTTTAGTGAATGGCTTGGAAATTTTATAAGCATAATAACTTCAAAGGGGGTATTTAACTATGGAAAGGTATTTGAAGGCATAAGATGTCCAAAAATCTAAGTAATTTAGATGATCCTCCACCAAATTACTCTTAAAAAATCCAAAATGAATGATCAGAGCTTGCTGTCACAAAGATAATCTACCTTTTAAAAATCAGTGCATTAATTTTGCCATTAAATAGGCTAACAAATCAATATTTTAGCCACCCTAAATATTTCAATCATAACCTATGTCCATTTGATACAAAGTAAGGCATGAATACATTTTACAAATCTAGATGTAATGATATATTAATAATTAATACTGTGAAATTAGTCTCCCCTTCTACAAGCATAAGCTATCAACAAACAAGAATGCCAAGGACAGAATAAAAAACCTTGATAATCTGGCCTCAGCCTGAGTATGTAGTTATTGGTTACAGACAGTCAAAATACTGACCTCCTTCACCTCAAGCTGTGAGCAATCTCTGTGGTTTTCTATGTGCACTGAAGTGAAACATGTTGGAAAGCCCTGATCCAAACTGCATTAAAATGTTGTATCTAACAATAAATTATTCATTTATCTTTTTAAAGATAGCATTTGATTCCTTTTTTATTTCAATAGTTTTTGGGGAAGAGTTGGTTTCTGTTTACATGGATAAGTTCATTAGTGGTGATTTCTGAGATTTTGGTGGACCTGTCACTCTAGCAGTGTGTACTGTACCCAACACGTAGTCTTTTAGTCCTCATCCCCCTCCAACACTTCCGCCTGAGTCCCTAAAGTCCCTTATATCATTCTTATGCCTTTGTACCCTCATAGTTTAGCTTCCACTTGTAAGTGAGAATATATGATATTTGGCTTTCCATCCCTGAGTTACTTCACTTAGAATAATGGTCTCCAACTCCATCCAAGTTGCTGCAAATGCCATTATTTCATTCCATTTTATGGCTGAGTAGTATTCCATGTTGTATACATAATATATTTTCTTTATCCATTCGTTGGTTGATGGGTATTTAAGTTGGTTCCATACTTCTGCAATTGCAAGTTGTGCTGCTATAAACATGCATGTGCATGTGCCTTTTTTATACAATGACATTTTTTCCTTTGGGTAGATACCCAGTAGTGGATTAAATGGTATTCTATTTTTAGTTATTTAAGGAATCTCCATAGTGTTTTCCACAGTGATTATACTAGTTTACATTCCCACTAGCAGTGTAAAAGTATTCCCTTTTTACCACATCCATGCCAACATTTAATAATATTTTTAATTTTTTTAAATTGTTGCCACTCTTACAGAAGTAAGGTGGTATCTCATTGTGGTTTTAATTTGCATTTCCCTGATAATTAGTGATGTTGAGGATTTTTTCATATGTTTGTTGGCTATTTGTATATCTTCTTTTGAGAATTGTTCATTCATGCCCTTTGCCCACTTTTTGATAGGATTGTTTTTTCCTTGCTGATTTCTTTGAGTTCCTTGAAGATTCTGTGTTGTAGGAAGTCAGGGACCCCGAATGGAAGGACCGGCTGAAGCCATGGCAGAAGAACGTGGATGGTGAAGATTTCAAGGACATTTATTAGTTCCCCAAATTAATACTTTTATAATGTCTTACGCCTGTCTTTACTGAATCTCTGAACATAAATTGTGAAGATTTCATGGACAACTATCACTTCCCCAGTCAATACCCTTGTGATTTCCTATGCCTGTCTTTACTTTAATCTCTTAATCCCGTCATTTTCGTAAGCTGAGGAGGATGTATGTCGCCTCAGGACCCTGTGATGATTGTGTTAACTGTACAAATTGTTTGTAGAGCATGTGTGTTTAAACAATATGAAATCTGGGCACCTTGAAAAAAGAACAGGATAACAGCAATGTACAGGGAACAAGAGAGATAACCTTATAAACTCTGACTGCTGAGCCGGGCAGAACAGAGCCATATTTCTCTTCTTTCAAAAGCAAATGGGAGAAATATCCCTGAATTCTTTTTCTCAGCAAGGAACATCCCTGAGAAAGAGAATGCATCCCTGAGGGTAGGCCTCTGAAATGGCCGCTTCAGGGGCAGCCGTCTTTTATGGTTGCAGCTGTAGGGATGAAATAAGCCCCAGTCTCCCATAGCACTCCCAGGCTTATTAGGATGAGGAAATTCCCACCTAATAAATTGTGGTCAGACCAGTTGCTCTCAAACCCTGTCTCCTGATAAGATGTTATCAATGACAATGCGTGCCCCAAACTTCATTAGCAATTTTAATTTCGCCCTGGTCCTGTGGTCCTGTGATCTCGCCCTGCCTCCATTTGCCTTGTGATCTCTGTGACCCACACTCTATTCGTACACTCCCTCCCCTTTTGAAAATCACTAAAAAAACTTGCTGGTTTTGTGGCTTGTGGGGCATCACGGAACCTGCTGACATGTGATGTCTCCCCTGGACACCCAGCTTAAAAATTTCTCTCTTTTGTACTCTGTCCCTTTATTTCTCAGACTGTTCAACACTTAGGGAAAATAGAAAAGAACCTATGTGAAATATTGGGGGTGAATTTTGCCCGATATCTGGCTGAATTTCCCCCGATAATTCTGGATGTTAGTCGTTTGTCAGATGCATAGTTTGCAAATATTTTCTCCCACTCTGTGTGTTGTCTGACGATTATTTCTTTTACTGAGCAGAAGCTTTTTATTTTAATTAGGTCCCAATCATTTATGTTTGCATTTGCTTTTGGGTTCTTGGTCATGAATTCTTTGACTACACCAATTAGAAGAGTTTTCCCGATGTTATCTTCCAGAATTTTTAGGGTTTCAGGCCTTAGATTTAAGTCTTTGAACCATCTTGAGTTGATTTTTATATAAGGTGAGAGATGAGGACCAGTTTCATTCTTCTACATGTGGCTTGCTGTTATCCCAGCACCATATGTTGAATAAGGTGTCTTTTTTCCACTTTATGTTTCTGTAGTAAACCAGCTTAGTATATGAAATTATCTGATAGAAATAAACCGTCAAAGAAGAGCAGAAAGATTCAGATATAAAGATATATTTTGCAGAAATATTTAACATAGTAAAAACTGAAAGACACCTAATATTTTTACTTATGTAGTAACTTATTATATTTTATATGACACTATATAAACTGTGTTTTCAAAGAATAATAATTGGCATAAGAAAGTTTATATGATGTTAACAAAAATCGGGTCACAAAATCATATATACTATAGGGAGGCATATACACCAAAGTGTTTAATGTTTCTCTGATTGGTAAGATTATGTAATTACGTGTGATCATTATGTTATTCTTTATATCTTTCCCATGTTGTTTTTGGAAATACACATAGAATTTTCACAGAAAAAAACTAATTAAAATTTACTAAGAAACAGGGGTGAAAATTAGTAAGTTTCATGTCGGCAGCAACAGAGCTAATTTTCAGCAATGCTAATCATGGTTAGTGGAGTTGGTGACGAGCATTGATTGTGATTCTTCAACACCCCTTCCATATCAGTTTTTAGCTCATTTAAATGTCGCTCCTAAGAAAGGAATGTTTTACTTTGTTTATATATCTAAATCAGATCCTATGATAGGTTCTGGCAGATATTGGCCTATAAGAAATGTTATAACTAAATAGGAGTTAAATAAATAATTGAGTATAGAAAATAGAGCTGCCCTCAGAAATACGTCTTAAAGACACAGGATGTATTCCTTGTGAATTGAAATAAGATGTCAATGACACAATCTGTGAAACCACATTGTGTGTCTATCAATTTTTCTGTTCAGCTTTATGCATTGACCTTTGTGCTGCGTGCAAGTATTCCATTCTGTTTTAATAAAAAACAGCCCGTACTTTAACTGATTACTGTTTAATGAGAAAGTTCTGTTGTAACCAAACAGGCAAAAGCTGCTTATTTAATTTAAAAACTTCAGTAACTATTTTCTCAAAACTTTAAGCAATCTTGGAAAACCAAATTCTTATCAATTTTGAAACTGGCTTCTCAGGAAGAAAGAGTCTGCTAAAGAAAATCTACTGTCTGATTCTCTAACACTTATACAGATAACAAGTAGTTCTTAGAAGCATCCGTCCATTCTGATATTACCTCTCCAGTTTGGGCTTTTGACTTCCTGTTCTGTCTAATGTAATAGCTACTTACCTAGCCTTTTTTCTCTAGTCTGTTGCTACTCCTTTCAATCAATCCCATACACTACCACCAGATAAATATTTCTGAAGTACAACTCTTTTACGTCACCTTGATCACCAGCCTTTAATGGCTCCCCACTGCCTATTAAACAAAACTCAAGCTCCTGAGCAAGACAGACAAGGCCCTCAGGACCCCAACCAACTTCCCAACCTCATCTTCCACTAGTTCCCAGAGCTGCATTCTATTTCATGGTTCCCTAACTGTGGTCCACATACTGGCAGCATCAGCATCACCTGAGAACTTGTTAAAAATGCACATTATTTCCCCATAGGGACCTACTGAGCCAGAAAGTCTAGTTAGGGGTCCCAAAAACTTGTATTTTTAACAAGTCTTCTAGATGACTCTGATGTGTGCTGAAGTTTGAGGACCACTGCTCTAAACAAACTGTAGTTCCTTAAATACACCCAATCATTTTCCAAATGAATGAGTTTTCCAGTGCTGCTCTCTTACCTGGATGTGCCCTTTCCTCCCTATCTCCAGGTGGGTAAAAACCTGTTAATCCTTTCGGGCTAATGTTAATACCAACTCAATTGTCCCTTCCATGGTTTTCTCAACCAGAAGTAACCTCTTTATCTCTGAATGGTCATTGTACTTCTCCTGGAGCACTCACTTCAATTTCTCTCAAAACATGGTTAACCACACATTTCTTATTTTCTCTGCTAAAGTGTAGACTCTGAGGAAGGCATGTACTCTGTAACTTCCACAAGACATAGGGTCACATCGTTACATAGAAGATATTCTACAGGTGTTTCTCCAAACATAAAATAAAATAATAAAATAAAATAAAATAAATGTAACTACTGATAAACATTAAGGGGGTTGCCAGATTTAGCAACTTAAAATAAGAGATTCCCATTAAACCTGAATTTCAACAAAGAATTTTTTTAGCATCAGTATGTCCAAATATTGAATTGAACATACTTACAAAATTAGACTAAAAATTATTTGTTGTCTCTCTGAAATTCTAATTCAACTGGGCATCCAACCCTTTATCTGGCAACCCTAGCAGTAGTCTTTGTATGTTATGTTGTCTCTATTCATATTTATCTCCTCACTACTACTACTGTCTCCAGGAAGCAGAAAAATAAAAATTAATTAACTTATATACCCAAATAAGTGTTTTACCTTAAAAAATCACTTTGGAAAAACATGTACTTATTCATTGACACTGATGTTGCCCAGAACATGTTTGAATTTCTTTTTTTTTAAAAAAAGAATTGCATGCACAACTCTCTTACTGGTTATATAAGAAAAGTAGCCTCATTATCTGAAACCTGTGTGTTTAAAAAAATTCACAAGCCATATTATCTGTTTTTATAGCTTATCTTATTTTTCAGCATTGACGTCCTGTATCATTTTACTCTTTTTGAAGATCACATTTATCTTGAAAGGGTGAATAATTGCCACCACTGAAAATAATTTTAAGACATACTTACAACTTAAAAGGACAATTCCCAAATATATGCAAAACTGTTCATGAAAGCCCTCTGGATTAAATGCATAGCTTCCAAGGTATTACTATGAAGACAACATTCAAAGACATGTCTCATGTCTGGTTCTCTTTGATTTTGTTTAAAGTCATATTTCCTTATAATCACTATTACTTGAAGATTCCAAACATACACCCATGCCATATCCCCATGCCATCAAACATTAAGTTCTTACAAACCAAAGCCCAAGTGCTATGGAATCTTACCAAAGATTTCCAGAGATAAGCAATAAAAAGAGGACACACAGTCAAACCAACTAATGTGTAGCCCATTTGCCACAGAATACCGTGATACATATGTGAATACTAATACATGTCCATGTATATTTTTCACATTGTACTTCCATACATACACATATTATTATTTGTATGTTTATGTATCTCTTTGACATACTTTGAAATAGGAACTTCTCTATCTTCTGAACCAAGCTTTTACAGGACATGGTACACAATATATGAAGCCAGAGAAGGCTCAATTTACAATCAACAATTCGAGAATTTTGTTTGCTACATCATTGTAATTAAAGTTCCTGGAGCATACTCAATCAACATTTTGGATGCAACCTTCAAATATCTTTAATGGAGAATTTACTTATGCTCTTGACATACATCAGGTTCAAAGCTTTTTGGCAATTTACTGTTCACTCTTTTCAATCTCATACAGGTGGGCAAAGAAAAGACAAAAGAAGGATGAAACAATTCATTGATAATATTCGTCTTTCCTCAAAAACAAAATGAATCAACATGACATGATTGATGGAAGTTCCATGAAAATCAGTTTAAGCTTTCTGGAATTTGGAATTTAAAACCTAGTTTTCAAAGAAAATTTCCATATCAATGTTCAGTTCTTTGGGGCTGTTCTTCAAGTTCACTGATTCAAATTATAATATATTATGGATTACCATATTTGAGAATAATCCCAAAGTGATGTGACACTCTAAAAGGGAATTTTAACAGTTAATATCCTAATCATTCTAATAACCTCTAACTCTTCTCTTTCAACTCTACAAGAGCATTTTAATAGGTTGTTACCTTATTCAACTAGCACTAGCATTTATTCTTTCATAAATCAGCAGGAAATTTAAAAAATATCACTCCTTTTCTTGTATCAATGGACTATACTAATGAAATAACCACCAATCTACTTTATCATATACGTTACATGCACAGTAACTTTCGGATAAGAACAATTAAGTCCATTTGAATTGCATGAGGACATAAAGAGAGCAAGGTTTTATTCCTCCTTGTTTTTGTTTACAGTGTTTCCATAATAAAAGCAGTTCTATAAGTAATACCTTCCCAAGGAGTTTTGCCTGATGCTACCACAGATATGAATGGGTTAATTAGAGCAATGTCTGGAAGCTGAGACAGCCAAGAAGCAACTTCACCACTGAGGCGGAAAGAGCTGTAACTAAAAGTCCAGCCAGGCATGTAGAACCCAGAATCCAGAAAAAACAAACAAACAAACAAACAAAAACTGGAAAGGCAAGTCACTGGGATATCGTTGATATCAACATGAAACAAAGAGACTTGAAAATCAAGAAATTTTAGAAAGAGACAATGAAGATTGAGGAAGTCAGGAAATTGGCATCAATGAGGCCTGTTAAATAACTGAAGGGCTCAAACTATAAGCTTGCAGAAAAAGGGGTGAACATTAAACCCTAACCACACCAAGTTTATCAATGGAAGCCCCAATCCTATAAAGGCTTGTGTTCTGGGTGTGATTTTTTAGGAACAGTAAATAAGACAGAGTACAAATCTCTAAAAGTGGAATATAAGATAAAGACTTTTCTCAGGAAGAAGAAAGAATCCTTGATAACAGCACTAGATTAATAATAAGATCAAGGACTCTTATGTGGGCTGATAGAGTTTAGTTCTGTGTCCCCATCCAAATCTCATGTCAAATTGTAATCTCCATGTGTCAGGGAGGGGATTGATGGGAGGCGATTGGATCATGGGGCCAGATTGCCCCCTTGTTATTTTAGTGATTGTGAGTGAGTTTTCATGAGATCTGATGGCTTCAAAGTGTGGGCACTTCCCCCTTCTCTCTCTCTCTTTTCTGTTGCCATGAGAAGACATGCTTTGCTTCTCCTTCCCCTTCTGCCATGATCGTAAGTTTCCGGAGGCCTCCAAGCCATGCTTCCTGTTAAGCCTGTGGAACTGTGAGTCAATTAAACCTCTTTTCTTTATAAACGACCCAGCCTCAGGTAGTTTTTAATAGCAGCGAGAGAATGGACTAATACATGGGCTTTATACGATGTCAAACTATTTCTTTTTAATTCAAGAATTTCATCCTTAGGCAATAAAATGGAATTAATTAAGGGAAATGGAGATTCAGGAGCAAAGAACCAGGCAGAGCAAGCCACTGCTAACAAACATCAGAAGACCTGCCAGAGAACACTCAAGATCTCAATAAATATTATTTGATAAGGATGTCATATGGTGTCATGCTTTAGTCAAGAATTTGATGATCGGTGATCCTCGGGTCACATGTGGCTCACAGATATGTTTTATCAGTCTATGCATTATTTTTAAAAATTTAATTAGTCCATAGCATATAGAAATCAGAATATTTCACATTAATCATAATAATAAAGGAATTTATATTTCCTTTTAAAAAATTAGAAAGTCCTGGCCGGGCACAGTGGCTCAAGCCTGTAATCCCAGCACTTTGGGAGGCCGAGGCGGGCGGATCACGAGGTCAGGAGATCGAGACCATCCTGGCTAACACAGTGAAACCCCGTCTCTACTAAAAACACAAAAATTTAGCCGGGCATAGTGGCGGGCGCCTGTAGTCCCAGCTACTCGGGAGGCTGAGGCAGGAGAGTGGCGTGAACCCGGGAGGCAGAGCTTGCAGTGAGCCGAGCGATTGCACCACTGCATTCCAGCCTGGGCGACAGAGCCAGACTCCATCTCAAAAAAAAAAAAAAAAAAAAATTAGAAAATCCTAACCACGCTGGCTTTAAATTTCCATCTACCGACACTCTGCTGAAGCTGAGTAGCTGCTGATCATTTCAAACAGGGAATCAGTTTGCAACAATCCCCACCTTCAGTCACATACTTCCCCTCAAGCCCTGGAGACATTTGTTCGAAACCTCTGCTTCAGAGAATGATGAGAATAAAATAAAATATTGGGGCTAATGTACAGTGTATAATAAGCTGCCAAAGAATGCGTTCTTAAGATATTCTTTGCATTAGACCAAAAACAACAAAAACAAAACTTGATCTTTACCTGGCATAAATGGGATAAACCTAGACAAGACTGAAAATAGACATGTGCCTGGAAATTTTTCTTGGATATGTACATGTTAGCTTTGTTTCAACAGTTATATTGTTTATCACTGAAATGGTTCAAATTCTATTCACTATCTTAGATTTCAACTATTTGGGTTCATTTTTGGAAAAGAAAATACAGTGAAAGGATGTGATGAGTACTTTTTTCCTTGCAACTATATCATAATACCCCAAACAAAATTAATCTGGAGAAATACAGATATTTGATTTTAGGCTCTAGGAATATCTCTGAATCTAGAAGTGTTGCAATCCAAAATTTTCCAAATGTAACAAAAGTTTTTTAAAAAATTAATCTTTCTCTGTAAAATCTGATGACCCATTGAAAATAATAATACTAAAACTTTGGATCGGGAAGAAATATAAACAGCCTGTTCAATAATTTCAAAATTCTCTCCATTTGTATTTAATAATATCTTCCTTTGGGATTCCAAAAGAATATACTTTATATCTTTGCTTGGAAAAGGTTGGGAAATGTTCCAATCCCTTGAAAATTTGCTGAGGAACATTTGCCACATCACGCTTATATATGCCAGTTTAAGTTACGACATATTTTGTAAACTGCAGTTTTAAAGAAAGAACAGCACAGTTCTTATCAAATAAGAAACAGACATATAGTGTACTTGTCTTATATATTATGGTGCTTGCTAAAATCTACATTCTAAATATTCTCTCTTAGAAA
This sequence comes from Homo sapiens, assembly GCF_000001405.40. Classification (NCBI taxonomy): domain Eukaryota; kingdom Metazoa; phylum Chordata; class Mammalia; order Primates; family Hominidae; genus Homo; species Homo sapiens. The sequence goes on along the minus strand of NC_000010.11, from coordinate 51,260,845 downwards.
TCAAATTAGTTTCTGATGGCTAAGTCTCACCTAAACCATTTTTTAAAATTCATATAATTTCTTGGTGACCAAAAATTGTCGGTACTTATACAGATAAGTATAATCACATCACATTGATTTCGGACTTGGTATTTGCTCTGAGTCTTTAATAATCTCCATGAGCAGAATTGATTTCTGATGGTATAACCCTGGAAAGTAGCACTCCCTGCAGAGATGGACATTTCAGCAGGAAATTGGAGCAATCTGCATTTCACCACAAGCATTTTTGCAGGGCATGCTCTCAAAGTCACTGTATTTCCCAGTCATTAGTGCTAGTCTAGAAATACACCATTTATGCAATATATCCAGACTCTTTTTAAATTCCCTAGAGAGACCATTGGTATTACCCAAAAGAATAAAAAATTTTTTTTTAAATTGTAGCACAACATGAAAAAATAATCATCTAGGAGAGTAAAACATGCATGCTAAAAAATCGTCAGAAAAAATAAAAAATGTATATAAAAATGTTTTACAAACCCCTTTCATATAAATGGCTATTGATCTCATATTCTAATATCCAAGCATCACAAAACTAAATCAGAATAGCAATTTAATAAATGCTTTCTATTCCACGGAATATTTTTTATTAATAGTGGTTTTCTGGCTCATATGGTGCTTTAATTGAAGTATGGAGCTGTTTCCAATGGAGTGAAGAGCAATGGAATTGGCAGGCAGCAGTTCACGCAATCAGTAAGAGCATGATCACAACCTCACTCTAATTAAAATGTTAGGTAAGAACTGGTGGTTGCACACATGTGAGTGTATGCATATGTGTGTGTATATACATATGTATACATATATAGAAAAACACCAATGTACAGAAATGTACTATATTTTAGATTTCACAATTTGCATAAACTAAATGGGTCATAATAAATAAGTCAAGCATATAAGCACTTAGGAGGGGTGACTACATAGCCCTAAAACCTATAACATGTTTTTATAGTTTATACAGATACACCTCCATATGGGGCCTGGCTATAATTCACATCTCAGCTTCTCAGCACCCACACATATAAAAAAGGGATGAGGGCCAGGCGCGGTGGCTCATGCCTGTAATCGCAGCACTTTGGGAGGCCAAGGTGGGTGGGTCATCTGAGGTTAGGAGTTCGAGACCAGCCTGGCCAACATGGTGAAACCCTGTCACTACTGAAAAAATACAAAAATTAGACGGGCGTGGTGACACACGCCTATAATCCCAGCTACTCAGGAGGCTGAAGCAGGAGAATTGCTTGAACCCAGGAGGCAGAGGTTGCAGTGAGCCAAGATTGTGCTACTGCACTCCAGCCTGGGCAACAAGAGTGAAACTCCATCTCAAAAAAACAAAAACAAAAAGACAAAAGGGTTGATACCAACCCATAGGGTTACTGTAGAGGTGAAATGAAATAAGACAATGTATGTAAATTACTTAGCACAGTTCTCAGCACATGGTAAGGACAAAATAAACGGGAATAATCACAGCTGTTGTTATGAGTATATTTTTCAAGAAAAAATACATCCTTGAGATATCTGCTAAACGATTTTCTTCACAAGAAATGGCATGCCTAAAACCTCATTCTCATGAAAGCTTTAGGTAACAACTGATGGTTGTACATATGTGAGTATATGCATATACGTATATGTGTGTATATATATAGGTACACACATATATAGAAACACACCCATGTACAAAAATATGCTGTATTTTAAATTTTACACTTTTCATATAGTAAATGTGTCTTAAGAAATAAGCCAAACATACAAGCACTTGGCAGGGGGCACCATATAGCCCTAAAAACTATAAAATGTGGAACCAAACCAAAATGCATTGAAATGACTAAAAGCAGAAACAAGAAGGAATATTCAAAAAGTAAAATATTGAACGTGAGGTTCACATCAAAGAACAGTGATCTGGCTAGCACTAAAGGGACTCACTCTTTCTTGAGATCCACAATGCATCTCCTGGAGAAAAATAAGATCACAAAGGAGTGGTTTCCTTCATGGAGTAATGCACTGATAGCTGGCATTTGCCAAGTGGGTAGATTTGTAATAAGAATCATGACAGTAATATTAATAACCACATATATTTGTTGAGCACTTACTATATGCCAGTAATGGTCCTGAGAGCTCTGATGACCAAACAAAATATTTTCTGACTGTGGCCACACAGTCACTGAAGCAGGAGTACTGACCCATCCTCCACTGACTAGACTGTGGCAGGACTTACACCTCACAGAGGTGGAAGCAGAATGCACAGTGGAAGCTGAAAGGCAGAGTGACAATAGAGCAAGGCCAGCTTTTGCTGGGCTGAAGCTAAGCAATGACTGGGTAGGCCTTAAAATATATAAAGAAAATAAAGAAATAGAAGCTTTGAATCATTAGGTACTGACATGTGTCCACTTCCCTTTGAAAACCCTGAGCTATAAAAGCCAGAAAGAAAATCATTTATTTAGGATGTTGTCTCTTCTTAAAATGTCGAAATCACATGCTTTGAATCTGGTAACCAAAGACATAAGAATGGTAAAAGTAGCTATTATTTTACTACAGTCTCGACTTTTGAATGTTTTGCTGTATGTCTAAATTACTGAAAAAGAACCTACCCTGCAGGGATGGAGATATTGTTACATTTTATCCAAGGGAACATGCCATTTTGGGGTCCTGTCGTGTCTGGAGAAGCCTTACACAGAAGTCACATATCAAGAAATGGACCCGATTAGCTCCCGTCTGTGCTTCGTGGTCATCCATAAGCCTTCCCTGTGGATTCATTTGTTTCCCCTTCACTGTCCCCACCTTCTTCCTGCCTTGGAAATGTGAGTATACTCTAGGTCCAGGCTTTAGCTCGTTAGCCTTCCTCCTAATTCCAATAGGGGACATATATTAAATTTACCAGCCTAGCATCCATACTCCTCTCTTTTGGCAAAAGAACCCTGATTTTCTTTGAATCTAACCTCCTCCTTATCCCCTTAGGTTTTGTTTAAGTGTATGCTGGTGAGCACTATGCTCACTGCCCCTGATTCTAGGGAAGAGCCTAGTTCATCAGAATCACAGCGAATGGTTCAGGAATGGTGGAATGTTTCAAGTTTTTCCTGGCAGACTGAATCCTGGTAGTTACTCAGAACTTGGTGGAAAAAAAAAAATGAGCTTTCTTTCTGCAGAGTTGGCTAAGCTGGTAGAATGTGTCAGAAAAGCAGGGAGCTCACAAAGAACAAGAGCTAACACACAACAAAGCAGAGTTGAGAGTTAGAAATCCCTAACCCTGTAAGTATATTGATCCAGTCATGCCTAAAGCCAGCGCTGTTCCTGGATTTCTTTGTTACATGACCCAATACATTCAAACTTTAAGTCAGTTTCTGATGCATTTCTGTCACTTCCAACCCAAAGTATTCTGGTTAAAAATTTTGTTTTCATTCGATAAATATGTATTGAGATAAACATGTGCCAGGCATTTTGCTAAGAGCTGTAAATCTCTGACCCACACATGATTTTGCCTCTCACCCGCACATGCCATCCTCTCTAATCTGTAACACTAGCTCTGCTAAACTTAAAATGCATTTGCACGTCTCCAGCTGTCTGATGGGCATCTCTAAGCATCCCACTGATGCTGCAAACCAAAACCATGTAACACAAAACTAATCATCTTCTCTCAAAAAAAAAAAAAAAACCCTTCTCTGAACTTTGCTATTTCAGTTAATGATGCCATCATTTTTTTAAAGCTCGACACCTAGGAATTTTGCTTTAAGCTATCTGAGCCCCTGTGTCCAATGAGTTATCTTGTCCTGTCAATTCTTCAAAATTTATCGCTTTCTTCTCTTCATGTGAATTTTTTTAATTTTAATTTTGAATTTTTATTTATACTTAGGCTACTTTACTGCTTGACTACTTTTTCTCTCTCACATCCCATTCTACACATGGTTTGAAAATTAATCTTTATAAACATTGATTTTTTTATGTCAAAATCCTGCCCATAGAGTTTCAATAGCTTCCCCCATAGTCCAACGTCTTATCCCAGACTGGACAGTCTCTACCATCTCCCTCACTTTCTAGTTCCCCGATTTCATTTTTTCTACTCCCACTGAGAGAATGCCTCATCAAACTAATCTATCACTCCTAGAGTAAATCTAACTTTTCTTTCTTAGTGCATCTTCCTGGATTGGATCTGTGTCTTTCTATTTGTCTATGTTCTACTCCTCCTTCAATTCCCAGTCCAAGTTTTCCTTTCTCTATGAAGTAGTCTCCAAACATCATGGCCCTCTTCACTGAACTTTCCTGAAGTCTGAGGGCATTTATTATTTGTAGTGCTCATCTGGCATATGACACAGACTACCTCATATTCTTCTGTTTGCCTATCCTTTATGTAGCCTTTCTACCACGCTATCTCAGTACATGGGACCAGACCATGTCTACATGTTACCTAGAAGTACAGTACATTCATCTTGGAACACACGACAATGCTTAAACAAGTTTTATAGCTTTGGGAATGAAAAATCTCAGGATTTATTTGCTTATTCTTTTGTTGAGTACTAAAAAAAAGTGGGCTTTATCTCATAATATTTACTAAAAGGAAAAACTTGTAATCAAGTAATCATAGTAATTTAAAACTCCTCTGTGAAAAGTTCTAAGAAGCAGAGGTCTGTGGGGGCTCTTGGGAAGACAGAGATCTCTTCCCTGAGAAAGGAGAAAATCAAAGTGGTTTGTTTCAGCTGTTTTTCAACTGAAGACACTCTATTGGGTAAAATTTATCTTCACTTGCAAGTACAAGTAGGAGCAGAATGACATTTAATAAAAAAGCACTGGGGACATTTTGTAAATAAGGTGGAAAATAACACTGGACTAAATGGATCTATGTTTGTGATCTGGACCCATTAGAAGTCTTCTCTGGGCCCTTATTTCCCTCATCTGCAAAAGGAGGTGGCTATGACGGATGATTATCTACAGAACATGTATGTCTCCTTTTCCTCCTCTCAAATGAAACCCCAGCTTTAGTAAGTTGACGTTCACCATCATGTGACTCAGGAAAGTAGACCCTTATTCCCAGTCCCAAAGATGGTCAGGATCTCTTTATATAAATCACAGTATTTGCTCATCTCTGGCATAAAGCCTAACCATTTAATAAAAGTGCCTCAGCTGGGAAGCACCTGGGAAGTTACTTCCTCCCGAAAAAACAGTGCAGGAAAGAACGACTCTCTCACAGCTTTCACTGAACATCAAAGGCATGGCTACTGCATCCATCTTATTGACAATCTCAGCAGAAAAAGCAATGCTTTGTAGAGACCAAATCCAAATCCCAAGAACATCAGGGAAACTTTCATACTACACCCAGAGTCCAGCCTACCTCAAAAATCCTTATGTGAGATGATAAATAAATGTCGTTGTTTAAGCCAGTTTGAGATAGTTCGAGCAGAGTTTTCTGTTATCTGCTCCCAAAAGCATCCTGGCTGATTCTTGAGAGAGCCTGGACTACACAAGCCCTTGCAGTTCTAAAATTCTGTGTTTCTACATGTTTAAATGATTTCTTTTACTACAAAGATATGAGCCATGAAATCAATTGCTTAAACCTAGAAATTAAGACATCTGTTTGCCAAGTGAAGTGAATGAATGAGGTAATTCCCAGCTCTTCATAGTCAAAACATATGTAGAAATTGAATTCCACAAATTATTTATATTCTTAAAATTCTGTATGTTTATATAAATTATTATTACTGCTTATACTTGGCACTTAATATTGATTTAATTCAATGTAAAGCATTCATATATGCTGGAAGGCCACTGCATTATTGAACAAATTATTTTATCATGTTTTTATTTTAAAATCATCACTTACATCCATAGTTGAGAAAACAGAAATCACTCTAATTCTGACTAACAAAATCGACGTTATTATTTGGGGCATTCTGTCCTGAATTACATTTCCTTCAGTTCATCAAAGGGAACAGAATCCAAATGTTTGTCATATTATTAATCTGGGCCAAAGAGCATACCATAGATCTATTTTTGACTGCTACCTGTCCCTCAGGTAACACAAATTTGGTTTCAATGAAAATCTCAGTTTTTCTTCCCAAGTCTCTTTATAAATTATAATTTCAGTCTAAAGAAATAAATAATGACTTAGTTGCTTTCCATCTTTATACAACATCTAAAATCACTATGAATACAAATGAGCACATCCCAGGCTAGTCAGGTACTTTAGCTCAATTAAGTATAAATCCAAATTCTCTAAGGAAAAGCAAGGAATTAATTAATTTTGCATTCCATAGCTTTCTTTGCTGCTATGTAAGGTGTTGTTATTGTTTTACTAGTCTGTGATTACAAAATTCACCCCTTAGATTGACTTGTTTCCCCTTACTGAATTGCCTGGTGAAAAGGTTGAACAGAATGGCTAATTTGGAGCCCTATAGGAAGGTTTGGATCAGACTGAGAGTACTTAGCCTGCAGTACAATAATTTCCCTTATGACTAATGCAAAAAATCTAATAATCTAATATTTTCACAATAACATGCAAAAATGTATACATTGGATAACAATATGAGCGAGACATGAAAATTAGAACACTTTATAGGTGTACAAAATACTAAAAGAGCTAAATTTTCCTAGGAAAATTATGTTAGAATACTTACAAGCTTGTAAATCAAAAGAAACTCTTGGAAAAATCAATCAATGCTTCAACTATAAAATTTCTTTAAACAATCTATTCCAATACAAATGGTAAAATCTTGAATATAGTGTGTGTGTATGTGTGTATAATATTAAACACTTTGATCTTACATCGCTTTTATTTGCAACTGCCACTCAGTTGAAACATTAAAAGTTCATGAGGATGAACTCTCAAATTTATCCATAATGATCATAGTTTGTGCTGCCCTTTCAAAAAACATGGCAACATTTTTCTTCCAAGCTGTTTGATTTACAACAGAAAAACAATATGCAACTGTTGATATCACAGATTCCTTTTGAGAAGAAAAATAACTTCAAATCTTTTGATGATAATAGTATAAGATCTACGTTCCTTTGACACAACACATTTTGCATTTACAAAGATTAAAGGGATGAAAAGTTCTAAAGTCTTTCCATCCTGATGGGCACTTCTATGTTCTGGCCTCCTCTGCACCTCGCTGATAAAATACTAAGTCGAAGCAATGGTTCTGAAGCCTTCAAAGTGAACATGAAGTACAATACAGCAGAGGAAAGTCAAAATTCTTCCCCTTCTCTTGCCAACCCTGACTTCTCTGAGACTTGCTGATCGGATTCAGAAAGTAGAATTTGAACATAACTGGCTTGGAGATGAATGAAATATGTAACATCCAACTCAGAGTTTAAATAAAACTCTTTAATCTCAAAATCAGACTGGATACCTTGTGGTAGAAGGGGATGTCTATTGGGGGGAAAGATGAGTTCTTTTCCCCAAATTAAGCCAGGGAAGGGAAACTTGTAATCTTATAAAATCAACCTTATAAAACAGCTACATTTGAACTTCATCAGCACAGAAGGTTTACAAGGAATAACACTGATCTTGATTTGTAGTTTTCTAACCTCTGGTAACATTTGGTGAAGTAGTTCTTCCTTTCCAAAAAATGGTGGACTGATTAGGTGAATTATTTCTGAAATGATTGATTTGCCTTTTTATCTTCATTAGCAATATAATGCTGTTTCCTGCACAAATCTAAATGAGAATACTTTCATGATTTCTATAGTTTCCCTGCTTTGCCATACTAATATTGACAACTGTAGCTCTCCGATGAATTGAAAACCTAAAAAGGGCAGAATTTGCAAGTGAAATATACTCAACTGGTGTAGAGGGACTGTAAAAATCTCTGCCAATGATTTTAATTATGAATGGTTCTCACTGGTGGGTTGGTTTGATAATCACACATGGCTCATCTCCTGCCAGAATGCCTTTCATTTTATCAAAATCATTCCCCTCCTCTGTTTTTTCTTGCTTCTGATCCAAACAACAATGATTGCCAGTTTCAAGCTTTTACTTTATTCCAGACCTTACACCAGGAGCTTAATATGTTTTCTTTTTAACCTTGAAGACAACATTACAGTACATTTCTATTTCCATTTAAAGAATGAAGAAACTGCCATTCAGAACTATTCAATATAAAGCAGCTAAGAGGTTGGATTTAGATTTAAACTCTGGTCTGTCTGGTTCAAAATTTCATGTTTCTCCTAACACTACACTACTATAAGAAGTGTTCAAGTCAATAAGGGCAATTATTATGTAGAGTTGAGAGAATGATAATCCAAACTCTCACTATTTCATGAAAAAAAGAACAGAACTTACTAAGGATTTTTTTTTGTTTTGCATTACCATCAGTGCAATAAAGTAAGAAGTCTCTGCTCAAATGAAATAGAGTTTATCTGTTTTCTGAAGAATTTGATAAAGTTTATAAAATAATTTTCTAGTAATGTAACTTTGAGCTCTCTATTATAAAAAACATGCATTTTATATTTGGGCTTAAAAATAAGCACCAAGTGTTTGATAAGTACTTATCTCTGTGTTGGTATGTATTTATAGTAAAGACATTTAAAAAATCAATGAAATTTATTCCAAATAACAAAAGTGTTATCACCTGAAGACTTGCAATTCCTAGTCTATTAGAAGACAAATACTATACAATAGAGCACTCAGATTCCAGACTTTGTTTTTTGTTTTTGTTTTTGTTTTGCTTCTGTCATCTGTGCGGCTCATTGTGCCAGTATATGGTCTGATCTGACATAGCTGGAGTTTTCCTCAAAAGAGAAGACACTCATGCATGTGCACACACACACACATGAATTACATTAGACTAATAACGTATATATGCAATAGTATGCAATATACTGCATATTATCTGCAACATAAATATGCAAGTAATATGCTACTTATTGCTTGAGTCTTCATTTATTACTAGCAGCAGTAAATTATGATTATATCAATGTCTCATGTTTATGGCCAATACATAACAGGACTGGAGAGAACTTTCAGCATTCGGTAGCTGATTAACTCAAGATCTAGGAGAAGCTGTTGCATTTGTGAACCACAAAACTTCCGTACACATTTTGAGTAGAGTTATGTCTTTTATTCCAAGTATTTAAGAGCCAGAGGTTGATTCTTAGCAGAATTCTATATCAGAAGTATACCAATTAGCTAGTATGTTACCTCTTCCCAAGGAGTGAGTTCTTAAGAACTTTATGGGGTAAAAAATACCTTTTAGATTATATAGTAGAAAATGACCATTTTTTTTCTGTGTTCCTAAAGATTTCTTCATATAAGTTGAACTTTATTCAATTACCATTTGATCACTTCTAATATGAGGGTCTTTAATGACCTTAATCACAATTTTATTTAAAATATGCAGATATAAAGGAACACTGCACATTCAGCTGAGTGCCTGGCAGATACAATAAGCTGTTCCAAATGGAAATGAATTACACATATCCTTCCAAGTGGTATTTCCTCTTGTAGGTCAATCCATGCTCACAAAGAGTTCATGGCTAAAAAATGCTTTTAAGAGGACTGACACCTTGTAGAGAAAGAGAAATTTACAACTTCCTGCCAAGACTTGATTCTGTCAGACTAAAGACGCAACTTGCAGATGTCCTTGCCAATTTATGAAACAGGTGCCTGGTCTGCCTTAAAGGAAAACATGACATGACTCTATATTAAAATAGGAAAAGGAAGCAATGCAATTTGTTGTTTACCATGTGTTATTATGGGAAACCTATTATAAAAGGTGGAACACATGGGTTCATGTGTATCAGTGAAGCAGTCAGAAAAACTATCCCTTATTTAAGACATAATATCACAATAAACATTCAGGAAGTAAAATCTGTCTGTAGAGTTGGGCAGGAGGCAATACACAATAACATAAAAAGGAGGGGAAAACATCGCAGCTCTAGTTCTGTATTCTCCCAGCACCTCAGCTTTCTTATCTATAAAACAGGAATAACAGTAACACTACCAACACAGGGTGTAGGGCTGGAAGGCATAGAGAGGGCTTCACATACACTAGGAGCTCAATACCAGTTCTTCTACTTCCTCCTCCTTTTACAACTATCACTGTAATAATGTGAGTAAAGGGGTTTGCATGGCCTGTCAAAGGAGATGCATTTCTCATCCCTTCATTACTCTTGCACAATTCCATTTTGTCATAGATGGAGTTTTGCACAGTCACTTGTCAGAGATAGAAAGGCAAGTGCTTTTCTAAGCTGAAAAAGGCACAAACTTTAGAAAGAAAGGATGGTGTGTCCCTGACTGCTTTTGGAAAAGTGAATTCCAGTGAACCTCCTTGCTTCAGTAGTAAGCTGGGAGACACAACACATTCAGAGAGAAAACAGCTGACAAAATCATCCATCAAAGTCTGAGACTGGGAATTCACCAGTCTCCATGAAAGGTCTTTGCTTTTGCATGACAGGTTATTCCATCATTCTGAAACATACTTCCCACTTTCCCATGGGTTAAACTTGTTCTATGATCAGCAGTCCAATTCAGGTTTCAAGCAATCATTCACTCTTAGTTCTTTCAAATGTCATAAATTGATACGTTGCTAAACATTAGTTTCTCATAGAATGTTTCCTAGTATTTCTCAAACTGTGATCATTTTTATGCCACCAAATATTCATTTTCTTGCCAAAAGCAAGATAAATTTAGATATCTGCCTTCTCCCAAGGTATACTGAATAAATTGGTCTTTTGCCAAAAGGCTGTTTAGGGTAGGTTGGGGAGTTAAACCACAGCAACCCTGCAATGAGAGGGACAAGCCTCACTTTTCCATTCAGTAACTGTAGGCTCATGATGTCAGTAAGACTTCCAGGGTCTCAGTTTTCTCCTCTAATAAACAAAGTACCCTAGATGATAAGAATTACATAAATGCATGTGGATATGTTCTAAGCTATGAAGCATCATCTAACATATTACTTACGCTTTTAAAGGCACTTAAGCACAATATGACATTTTAGAGTTCATAATTACAAATGTGTCACCTGGAATACAAAGATGACAAATATGCCCGGCTATTAGAATGCACACTTCACAATGATAGTAGTGTTTGTCATGTTCACTGGGCTGCAGAAACACTGGAACAGTGCCTCACACATAGTAGATGCTCAATCAGTACTGTTGAATGAAAAATTGTATAGTGTCCTTTGTTAAACATAACAATTTATAATATGCTGCTACTTGCGATTATTTTAATAAATGGTCATTTTTTTCATTTATGTTCTGTCTCCTTTCTAGGGAAAGTTGAATTGTTTTGCAAATAAAATTACAAAACCTGAGTCTAACACTATTAGCATTCAAAATATCACCTAAAATATGTCTGATTAGAATATATCAATTAAATTTAATTTACTTTAAATAGCCAAGAGAATAGGAACAACATATACAGCCATTTATAAACAGCAAATAAGAAATGACAGTTTCCAGATTTATATTTTCTACATATTTTAAAAATTCCTATGGCATTCACATGTTCTCACATGTTCTGTATGTCAAAAACTTTTCAAGTTAATATTCAGTGCATTTTCTAATGTTGATAATTCTATAATATATGCGTTGCTTAATGTCCAGTGATTTGGGTCCATGGGGATGACCCCATTACTAACATTTTCTTATAAGCTATTCTTTCAAACTATATATTACAACTTTTTAAACTAAAATTTTTTTGCCCCTAGTTTTTTGTAGAGAATGATTTTAAAACGTAAGTTAACCATGGCTGCTATTTTAATACAGCATTAACTGTCTTCCTCGCCTCTTAAAAAAATTTATCATGTTTTTAAAAATTTTATAAATGATAAATTTGCATTAAACCTTATATTGCTTTTAATCTCCATGAGCCAGATAAAATTTCACCTTCGGTTGTACTTAATTTTGTCTGTAATCTGACCGGGGTCTTGATTACTCAATCACCAATTTCTCAGGCCAATTAACATTTACAACATCTTTAGAATATGAGGGATGCTTTTTATAAGAAGAATAAATTTTATTTGATATAATGTAATTAAAGCATTTTACCTTAGTTGTAATGTTCATTAGTTGTTTTTTTTTGTAATTTCTATGTAGCCATCTACATGACATAGAATTTGTTATACTGTAGTTGCAATAGAGAATAAATTTTACAATTTTCCATGCACTTTTATATGAAACTTTAAATTGCACTATTTCAGTTAGCACTTCTTTAAATATATAAATGCAGTTCAATAAAGTTTGCCATAGAGACCATTTCTGTGATCAGAGTTTTCTCATCATAAAAATTAAGAGAATGAACTAAATGGATTCTGTTAATTTTAACCATAAGATACCATAATTGTACAAACCTGATTTAATGCTGACTTTTCGACAACTGCAAATGTACTTAGATGAGAAAATGTGAAGTTGAATATAATATCATGGTTACAAATGCACAGACCATTTTGAATTGCAGGTCTAAAAGAGCGATTTTTTTAATAAAACATTAATAATAATATGCAAACTATTCTCTTCCAACCCAAATATTACCAATATTTTGATATGCACTTGAAACAAGACCTAGAAGAAACATAGATATTACAATCCATCTTATCTCTGGAAGATCTGGATGTATGAATATTTGATCCTGACTTTGTCATACTACATTGAGCAGAGAATTAATATGTATTGAGTGTGCCCTATAGGTCAATAACTGTCCTGGGCAGCCTGAGAACATTTTCAAGAGCAACCCTTAAAGCTTAACAATGTATGTAGTTTAGTTTTTCAACAGCCACAGATAAATTCAGTCCTTCTAACTTTCTACCTAAGGGTTCATTTACTCCCTTTTACGATTGTTGTTTAACATTTCCCCTACCACTTTGCCGTTACCTTTATTGTTGTTGTTAACAGACACAGTAATTCAAGTTATAGCAATGTAAGCAGGCAGACACAAACTGAAGATTACATGAGAGAGTTGAGAAAGAGTCCAAGCTGAAGTGACCTTCATGCACAGGTAGAAAATGGAAATCAGTAAATGACTTGGCCAAAAGTAGGAAAAAATCAATTTAGTTTTTAAAAGAATGGGAGAGGAAGACAAGAGAAACAGAAGAGAGAGAAAAGAACGCCATCAGAGCAAATTTAGAGGCCAGAAATGAAAGAAAAGACACAGCAATATGGGATATAGGTGGGGCTCCATTTGCTCATTCATTGATGTATCATTCATTCTACAAATTTAGCAGGTGCCTTCTATGGGGATGCACTATGCTGGCCCCTGAGGATTTGGGAATAAACAAGTTAAACAACGTCCTGTCCTCAGGGTAATTAGCTGAAAAGGCAAACAATTTTTGTTTTATATATTTAATTGTTAAGGGTGTAAATTTTGCTGGATATTTACTTAAACTTAATATCTCATGGAAAGTAATGTTTACTCTGAATTTTTTCCTTGAATATTTCCTTCTCCTCATATGCATATGAAAAGGACCAAGAAATGTGTTTTGCTCATGTAATTCTTTAATCTCCTTTATTTTCTGATTTAAATAGATATCTAAGTTTCAGATGCACAATTAATTCCTTTCTTCTCTTGCATTTTTGAGTAACAAATGATGAGTATGGAGGGAAAATTGGCTCAATAAACATAATAATAAAAACTGTCAGTATACTTGAATCATTTTCCCAGTGCACCAAAAACTAATTGAGCTCTAACACACAAAGTTGACCTATAGGAAGAAGCAGGGGTTTTTTCATCTTCTTGACTACTATTCTTGTCTCTTTCACAGTCTTACCAGCCACGTGAGAACCATACATTTATTACTCCATTCATCTTCTTGTACAATTTACCTTCTCATACCTTTTCCCTTCTCTTTTCGAATTATGTCTTGGTCCCAAATCCAGAATCCACAAATGCATGGTCATGAAACAAATCCAGACCACAGAAATGTTGCTTTTGGGTCCCCAAGTTTTAAAAATGTTTCATTTTGTTAGCTGCCAGTGTTTAAGAACTGGAAGATATAACATACCTTTCCCAAGGTACATGTTCTTCTGAAAACTGGGAAGATTTGGTCACAGGGTATCAATAAGGGGCTGAATAGCAGTGAACAAGAGCTCTCCAATTCGCCACAGTCCCCAATTCTCCTATTCATGCCTGAGTCTGAGGCCAAGGTTCTGCCAGTTGACATTTATCATCATGTTTCTTTCTACTACTGTTTCATTGTTGGAAATATTTTCCTGTACCAACATCTGTCAGAAAAGTTGAAAAATGATAGATAAATCACCTCATTGTTTTTTTTTTTTCTTTTTTTTCTGTTGCTGTTTAATGCCAGGGGTTAGAAACATTCTGCAAAGGGCTGGAAAGTAAACATTTTGGGCTTACCTGGCCATACTGTCAGTGTCTATACTAAACTCTGCTATTGCAGTGCAGCATGGAAGTAGTCACAGACAATATGTGAAAAAAAATAGGCCTGTGTTCCAATAAAACTTCATTTACAAAAACAGGAGGTGGGCTGGATTTGGGCCAGAGTTTGTGGAGTGCTATCTCTCTATCTATGCTGTCTGGATCCTGTGGGCATGTGGGTTTGCAACCTCTGCTCCCATTTCTTTTCAGCTTCAGTTTCTATCAAAACAACTTTTTATTAGTTCCTTTTCCACCTCACTTTGGACTCGTTTATAAATGTTGATATTTGTTTCAAAATGGCTGTTATAAGATAATGTCAAATTTGTCTATTAACTTTCTGGGTCAGAGAAAGTCAGTCCATCTTGCGGAGCAGCAAGTGCAAATCTCAAGGACAGTGGAATGGTAGGTGCATAGCTATGAATTTGCTGCTCCCTTCCTCAAAACCTTTGAGGCTTCTCTATAGCCTAATAATACAATGGAGTCTGATACCAATGTACTGTCTCAGCCATATTTGTCCTCCCTTGCCCCACCTATGAATTATTTGCTCAAGCCATTCTGGATTGTTTGCTATTATCTAAGTATAACTCCTAGCTTTTGCTCTTCATTTCTTTGATCAAGCTTCCTACTCTCTAGTACAGAAGGAGGTTGGTTTAAGGGGAATCCAGTTCCACCCATATTATGAAGCCTTACTAAAATGATATGCTTCCCATGAAGCCTTCTCAAATTCCAACAGTTACAGTTAAGGTCTTCAGTCTCAGTGTTCTCTTAGCACAATGAGAACACTTTTTACTAGGTTGTATCATATGAGGTTGTTACACTTTTAGGTCAAATATTGGCAACCTAATATATATATTCTGCTTAAGATTATATCAATAAATTATATACATGTCTGTTCCACTCCTCAAAGGCAGAGACTGCATCTCATTCATCTTGCTACATGCCTGGTGTCTAACACAACACCTTGCTCAAAGAAGAGAAGTATTGAATTGACACACTGAATTTACAACATCTTCAGTATTAACAGAGTAAGGAAGATAGTGTGCACATCTCTAAATTACTTTTAACTACTGCAAGGAAGGCCTTAATTCCTGACCTAGATTACTTAAATTTATAAAAATAGTGCCAGGGTTTGGGGGAAAGGGGGCAGAGTTGTAGTTGAAAGATGCATTGGCACTTTGCTGGCTGCTGACATTCTGCTAATTTCACTAGATAACAGGGACCCAGATGTTGTTATATGATTAAGTCAGTTTCAACTAGAAATATTGTGAAAATCTTGTGGCCAGAGGAAGCCTCTCATATTCAGAGTAAAAAAAATCTAATTTAGTAAAATGTGTGATGTCTTATGGGCTGTCTTATATCCTTAAGTTCTTTTCAATAGGAGAGCAAAAGAGAAATCTGTTGGCAGTACAGTGCTTGCCACATTCCTGTTGCTAAGCAAAGGGAAGCTAGGGAGAAGAGGAAAAGCGAAGGTCTGTGAATCAGGGGCAGTAAAATTCTAATCAACTCTTGGTGTTATGCTTGGCTGACTTTCTAGAGAAGGAAAGGCAGCAGTCTGCATTGGTATATCCAAAGGCTCAGGAATGTAGTCCCAGTATTCACAAAGGAAAACGCTTCCACTGTGAAGTTTGCAGTTAAAAAGATACAATCTCGGTTGTAGAAAAAAAAAAAATGATAAGGTAACCTCAAGCAGCTGAGGAGCTCACAGACATTTTTTTCCAGTAAGTGACTATAAAACAGCTATAAAACGGAAAAATTATGACAAGGTATCAATCTCTTTTAAAAGGATAGTAGGATAATTTTTTATGTTAAGAAGGTTTTCATTACAAACATGCTAAAATGTAGTCTTTTTTTCCAGTAATTTGAAAATACATAAGTTTAAAAGTTAGGAAAGAAAACAAAAACCTTACTGTGTTTCATCCCTCTAGGGATCCCTTAAGGCATTTAGAGGTAAAGAGCAATTAAAACGGGGCCTTTGGATTCTTTGCAATAGAGACTCCACAGCAGGGGGAATTGGGAGGAGGAGGCAGAGTGTGTGTGTGTGAGAAAGAACCACTGAATGTTCTATAAATAAATATGATCTACTCTACATATCCCCCTAGACATGAGGGTGACCTCAGAAATGATATTGAGATTTCAGGCTACCTGCAACAAATCATTATCTTGGATTCACCTTGACAATATAAATGGTAAAAAAAAAAAAAAAAAGGAAGAAAGGGAATATTCCTACACTCAATTCAAATGCTTAGTTTCCTTAATTTCAATTTGCCACATAAATAAATGAAAATCTAATCAAATAACTAATAAGTTTTAAATAGTCCCATAGGTATTACATTTTATGTAAAGTATCTATGATATATTTTTAAAATATTTATGTTGTTCCTTCTTGGGAAATTTTATTGATTGTGTGTTTATATGTGCTCAAATAAGAAAAAGGTTATTTGAACATTGGGCCAAGAAAGATTCTATTGCTTGCAAAAGAAACAAAACATGACAACATCAACACAATAGAACAAAATTCAAAACTCGTTTGTTACATTTGTTAGGGATAATTACTGCACACTCTGAGCATCATTGGTCTAAGAATAATTTATTTACCAAAGCAGTAAGAAGAGTCTTTAGAAATTAACCAGGAAAATGGCAGAAGGCAATATAAGAAGTCAAGTAATACTCTCCTGCAAATGTAATTGTTCCGTTTCCAGCCCTGCTTCTCTAGGAGTATATCTACTGATATCTACCAATTAATTAGCATTTCCAGGTGCATTTAAGTCTTGGCATCAGGCCCATAGTCCTTGTTCACAGGTATATGAAAAGAGACCTTGCCAAATGCTCACCAGCACTATGGGGAATGAAACTGCCCATGCCATGATGGATTACATCAGGAAAGATCTATCTAATGAAGGTCTTCAGAAGCAACAAATCAACACAGAAAAATGGCTGATGTCCAGAAAAGGGAAAACAATTTCTTTAGGTCTCTGTACAGACGATGAGTCCAGGGAGGAGGAAGAACATGGGGAACTAGGTAGGCACCTGCACATACACCACAGCAGGGAAAAACATAAGGTCCGCCAGAGCAATGCCAGGAAATGGTGATCCTACACCCTGACCAGGGCAAGAGCCTTCTGCTGACTGCTCTGGCTTCACAGCTATTCCAGGGACTGAGCTTTTCCCATTAGGCCAGTGGTGGTGAACAGACCTGAGACTCTGCACTACTCTTTATCAGTTCCTTTAAAACATGTCCACATGTAAATAGTCCTTTTAATAAACTCTCCTCAAATTTCCCTGCTTAAGTCAGCTGTCTGTGTCCTGTGGGCTCTCTCACTGATACATCATCCAAGTCAGGAAAGAAAGGATGAACACAGTCACACTAAGGCTAAGGGGCTTACAATCCCCCACCAAAAAGCCTTCCTTCTAACTGATATCTACTAATTAAGGGGCATTTCCAAGTCCATCTCAATGTATTAGCACCATATCAATTCTTATTATTCACAAGCATGCCATTGAAGACCTAGTGAAACATTCACAGAAATCCAGTATGTCTACACCGGGTCTCCAGCCTCCCTCCAAATCTAATTCACTTTTTTCCAAGAGAGAAATTAAATCACTTTGGTATAATCTGTCTTAGTAAACTCAAGATGATTCTCAGTGATCACCTGCAACCTGTCTTAGTGTTCACTATATTTTCACTAATTGATTCCAGATTTTTGCTCATGATTGGCATCATCCCACCAAGCTAATTAATCTAAAAATTGGGGGATTGAGCTTCTTTTCAAAAATTATATCAACCTCTGGTCAATTACAATCTTCCTGCTCCTCTCCCATTCTTTGTAACTCTATAAAGTAACAAAGATCAACATAGCAATTGCATTTATCCCAGTGTTACATAACTAACTTGTCTAATGTTTGTTTTACCCCTAGACTGCGAGCCTTGAGGGCAGGGATTGTATCTTACTCACCTCGAAATGGACATCATTGCTGGTACCTAGGAAAATGTCAGGGTATTACAGATGCACAATAACTGTTTGCTGAATTGAATTTACTGCACCAATGTAGTGGTTTAAAATTTCCTCATATCTTTGGGCTTCAGCTTCTTCTCACTAGTATTATACCCTATCCAATCTAATATTTATTTCCTTTGATAGAGAAACTGTTATGTGTTGGGGGAAGACAAAGTAGGACTTGTTATCCTAGAGGGGCTTTTGGTTGACTCATCCAATCACCTTCTATCTTCTTGTTCTGAACATACTTATAAACTTTTCTCATCTTTGGCATTTTCTCCCTTTGACACATTCTACAGGCTTCTGACACTTGCGCTTGGTTATTGGGCTCTTCTCCCAGCCTCCTGTCTTTTATCCTGTATGTGCTCATTAGAGAATTTCTCACCCAGTCATTTATATATAGGACGACTTCCCTTGCCTTCCTCATCACAATCCATGCTATTATTCTATTTGAATTTCAGTTCTGGGAGCTTCCCACCTTATTCAGCAATCTTTTTGTTTCAAGCCAGACTGTTACATTATTCATCTTTTTTTTTTTTTTATTGTTCCAGCATAGAGGGCAAAAAAGCCATTCTCCACTGGCAATGATGTGGATCTTTGGTATCCAGGGTTCTAAATATTGCTTATGCAAATAAAGCAGTTTTGAAATTGGCTTTGGACTACTGGATGGTTGATTTTTTAAGGGTGTTTTCATCAGGTCAGGCATGACCCTCTCAGGTTTAAGGACAGCACAGGACAGGGAGAAATAATTCTTTTCTCTGCCTCTGAAGTTCTACAGGTTGTCAGATGGGCTCTGATGATCTAAAAAAGAGAGACTTTGGCAGAAAGAGTAGTTGACAACAATTGCAACCTAAAACAACATCTGTTATGTGAATTGTGACATATGCTGTCACTTTATAGGTTTGGGTTTGCAGGCCTAATCTGTAAAGCTGTTTATTCTTGCCTTAGGAGGAATTAGCAGTAGGCTAATATAAGGATATCAGAGTTCAGATTCTAATTCTGCTGCTAATTCACTGACTTAAAGCAGGGTATTACTTTACCTCCCTCGGCTTAAATTAAGATGAGCTTCCTCGTCTTAAATTGTGTGATTATCTTTCCTCTTCAAATATGTGAATAAATGTTTGCTAACATCTCTCCCAACTCTGATAATTCGATGATTCCCTGAAAGAGAAGCAATTAGCTAAAGGAGGTTCTTTGGCTTTTTTTTTTTTGGATTGGAGCAAATGAGCTAGCTCCACAGGCTGCCTGTGCCATGACGCCGTGACTATTGTCTTGGGGTAGAGCCTTAAGAATATCAGCCTATGAATGAACAACATCATTCTGACATCAGGCAGATTTCATTTCAGATTCTAACTTTGCCAGTTACTAGCTCAGTGAACTTGGGCTAAACATGAGCCTCAGTTCATCTTCAAAACAGGGATCCTAATAGGACCTACTTCATGAGGGTGTTGAGGTTGTTGTGAGGGTTAAAATAATAAACACATAGTAAGCACCCAGCTCAAGGAGTGGCATGTGGTAAATTCTCAAAAGATGTTACAAAATTAATTAAACTTACAAGAACTACTACAAATGGAAGAATTCCATTCAATCCATCTTTTAGAAAAGATAAAAACTATTCACTATTCTTTTGGAAGAGATCCACTTCAAGCCTAGGCCCATTCTGGTCCAGAATCTTTTCCTTAGATCCCTAAGAGGTCAGTACTTTTATTGTCCCAGCCTTTTATTCCTTTAAGTAGGGAGTTTTCTTCCATTGACTACCAAGGATGTTTAGGCATTTTCCATCCAGGCTACACAGAGGAGGCCCCTCTTGGTGTTCAAGGTGATAGTCCTTTTGATATTTTACAGGTCCCTGCAGGATTTTGTTTGATCTGGAAGTATTTCTTCAATTAGATACATAAATACAAAACATTTGTCCTGTGAATACATTTCTAGATATTAAAGAGGCATAATTTGAAAGAGAGAGTTCCTGACCTTCAGAACTACTGATGAGACAAAAATATATAAAATAACTGACTTTGTACAAGGATAGTAAGAGAAGACATATTTAAAATACATAATGCTATGAGGCTAAAAAGGCTACAGTGTAGGAAGGGGCATCTGAAATTAATCTTGAAGAATTAGTAATCTTTTCTCAGGCAAAATTGGTAAGAAAGAGCTGGTTGAGAAGACTGGATCTCACAAACAAAGGTATGTCTATAAAAAACATAGAAATGCTGAGAGGAAAATAGATATTCAATTTGGATATGTTGGGTCTATCAGAGCAGACAACTGAGAAACAATGAATGTTCTTGAGCACTAGAGGATACTATCTGAGATGGGCAAAGGTAATATCTATTTTTTATTTAACAATTAAACCACAGTCCACTCATTCTGCAGAATATATTAGTTACTTATGATGTGGCTGGCAAGGTAGAGTCTTTAATATATAACTAGAAATGTTTGTGATCACACCTAAATTAATACCTGCTCAGATGAGAAAGCCTGGGAGCCATGTGGGCCCTTTGCCTCAGAAACACATTCTGTACCTTCCTTGGGTCTTCAATTACTGATAGCCAGTATTTATTGGAAGTTGCTATATGCCAGAAATTGTGTTACATGTTTTGCAAAAATAATTAGATTTACTCCCATATTGGCCCTATAAAGGTGGGCACTATTATCCCACTTTACAACTGGAGAGCTGAGTCTCCTACATGTAAAACAACCTGCCTGAGGTTATACCACCAGAAAATCTTGGAGCTGGAATTCCAACCCAGGTCGATCTGGTTCAAGCTTTCAACTACTATGTTACCTGCTTTCTTGTAACCACTTCCTCAGCCCACGTACTCAAACCATTTCATTACAGAAAAGTAGAAATAATGCAAGAATTTCACCCTTAGCTCCTTGTTTCTCCACTGCAGATCTGTCTAGTGTTGAGGGGGGTGCGCCGAGGTCTCATCCTCACTCTCAGCATTAGGAACATGTAAAGATATTTTTAAAGTTGGGAATAATTTCACACATTATTAAATGTGCAAAAAAACCTAAATGCCTAATACCTCTATTTAGCCATTTGGCTAACTGTGTTTTTCATAACCTCCTTACACAGGCTCCATTATAAAAGAAATATCTGGGAAGCCCCAGTTTGAACTTTTGTATACACTTGTTAGTGTGATACTTAGGGTCAGAGAGTGTTAAAATTCTTCTCCTGCTAGTTATTTTTTTACTTTCTTAGAAAAAATAATATCGTGAAATCTGGCCTTTTCCTGCATTGTTTTCGTATGTTCCAATACTTCTATTATTTACTTCTGGTTTCTGGGTTACGGATGCTATTTAAGAACCAGTTTCTTTTTGCAAGGTTAGAGAAGGGTGTGAACTGATATTTAGCTAAGAACAGAACTTCTATTTTAATTTACTTCTACAGAGCAGCTGTCCGAACTCCAATCTTGTAATATTATTTAGCATGTTTTCAAAATCATAGTTATTTTCCAAAAAGATTTTTTTTAGTTGTTATAACCTCAAATTCTTTAATTAGATTTTTATCCATTGGTTATCTTAAGCTTACTATATTCCTGTTGACTTTACCATTTAACTTTAGGTCTAAACATACCAAAATTAAAAAAAAAATAAAAATTATTGTATAATAAAAACCAATTTCTCTAATTACAAATGTAAATATTTAAACTTTAGGACTATATTCTAGAATTTTCACAGCAGCTCTTTATATTCTAAATGTGAAGGGCCTATGTTAAAACTGTATGAAAAATACTTTTTTTTTTTTTTTTGAGATAGAGTCTCCCTCTGTCTCCCAGGCTGGAGTGCAGTGGAACCATCTTGGCTCACTGCAACCTCGTCCTCCCAGGTTTAAGAGATTCTCCTGCCTCAGCCTCCTGAGAAGCTGAGATTACGGGCGCACCACCACACCCAGCTAATTTTGACTTTTTTTATTTTTTTATTTTTTTTAAGGTAGAGTCTCACTCTTGTTGCCAAGGCTGGAGTGCAGTGGCACCATCTTGGCTCACTGCAACCTCCTCCTCCCAGGTTTAAGAGATTCTCCTGCCTCAGCCTCCTGAGTAGCTGGGATAACGGGGCCCGCCACCACGCCCAGCTAATTGTTTTGTACTTTTAGTAGAGGCGGAGTTTTACCATGTTGACCAGGCTGGTCTCAAACTCCTGACCTCAGGTGACCTGCCTGCTTCGGCCTCTCAAAGTGCTGGGATTATAGGCGTGAGCCATCTCGCCGGGCCAATACTTTTAAATAGGCACAAAATGGTCTATAGCAACTCAATAAAGTACAACGATGAAAGTTCGATGCCCACCAACATTTTATGATTCTGTTTATTCTACTACTACTTATAAGTGAAATAGTGCTTTCCTGGCTACAGTGAAAAAGAATCATGCTTCTAACTTAAGCAGCATGATTTGGAAAATTAGTTTATAACAATTCTTATTTTCCAGTATTAATAGTAGATTCAATTTTTTTTAATAGAAGAATATGTAATTGTCTACCTTACAGATTAGCAATGAACAGTTTCAATGACAATCTTACCATTTCCACATAGAAAATACTTAACAGTATGTAAACATACTATAGATATCGTTAAGTGAGATAAATCTAGAATTCATTTGTACCAATATTACTGTCTAAGGCTACATCTAACCATCTACTTGGAAGTCCCAGGGACTTCAACTTGTCAGGGATCAAGGGCCTGAAACACTGAAGTCAAGAGAAGGATATCAGTGCTTTCTTTTTTTTTCAGAAATACATGAGAATATTTACTATCACTTTGTCAGAAGTGTTTTATAATCAGAATCTTCTGTCTTTATAGATATTTAGGGAGGTACTGTGGCAAGCATTTTATCAAAACATTTTCCTTTAGTTAGTTATTTAATTATTCTCAAAGATCGAAGGACTTCAATTTGGATGTGTCCTTTATCTTTTGGAGAAGACTGCTCTGAGCGTGGGTGCCAGTCAATGCTGTGTATGTCATCTGGGACACATAGTAAGGATTCCTTTGGGAGTGAGCTCCATACTCTCTCAGACCACTGAAGTTGGTCTATCTGTTCCAACATTAAGGGATAACTAAAATTTTTAATCTTTCCTAAATGACAGATCCCACTGGATATGCAAATGTGCCCTGGGGCCCATGGATATTCCCAGCAAATCTCTGTGTGTTCCCGGAGCATGTGTCCCTAGAGCCCTGCGCTTTCATTCTACACACATTTTAGAGCAACTCTTTGGCGCCAGTAGCTACCAACGCCCTGAGAATACCAAAATATGAATGTGGAGATCAGAATATCATTTGGTAAAAATGAAATCAGAACAAGATACTTTGGTAAGGTAAAACATTATTTAATGTCATCAGGCAAAGACAGTTGAATTACAGGGATGACTTGCCCATAAGAATGGAAATATTCAATGTCCACTGCCTAGAGTTAGAAAGTGTATGAACTTTGTTATCTGAGCAGGTGCAGTCCTGAAAATAAGAAGGGCACTGTTAATAGTTCTGCCCCAACAGGCATGAACCAGAACAGTCCTGAGCAAAACAGGAAGTCTGATTACCTTAGCCAAAACCTTCCACATCTGTCTTCACATCAGGAAGAGCCTTGTGACCAGAACTCTACTGGGATAAAGACTGTCTAACTACCCTTTATGACTGCCTCTGTTGCTTCTTTATGTAGGTTAATTAATTCAAATGGGTTATACTGGCATCTCACAAAACTGGAAAGAACCTGGTTCATGGCTGAGCGTGGTGGCTCATACCTGTAATCCCAGCACTTTGGGAGGCTGAGGTGGGTGGATCATGAGGTCAGGAGTTCGAGACCAGCCTGGTCAATATGGTGAAACCCCGTAGTCTCTACTAAAAATACAAAAATTAGCTGGGCATGGTGGCGCACACCTGTAGTCTCAGCTGCTCGGGAGGCTGAGCCAGGAGAATCGCTTAAACCTAGGAGGTAGAGGTTGCAGTGAGCCAAGATCATGCCACTGCACTCCAGCCTGGGCGACAGAGCAAGACTCCATTAAAAAAAAAAAAAAGAACCTGGTTTATTGGATAGATGAACATCTATACTATTGCCCAAATGCATATTCGGAATGCAAACTACTTTCCTCATTTCTGAGTTCACAGGGAGGTGGGAAAAATATCACATGAAAGCTGACAAATACTGACAACAAAGACACATGATACCACAGGAAATAAACATTTCTACACTGTGTATAAAAATAATATAAAATGGCATTTGAATTATCAGTATAACAGGTTATCATTGCAGAGTTAAGGTCAGCAGTTAAGGGTTATCAAATTTATTGATTAATTGGCTCTCCCCTGTCAATGAGGTAGCCATCTAGGTATTTTCCCTATTGTACAGATAAAGAAAGTGAGGCTAAGAGGTCAAATGACTTCTGAAAAGTCATACTCTGGAACTAAAATTAACTGTTCTTATTCTTAGAACAGTGGTTCTCAAAGAGCATCAGTACCATCTGGGATCTTGTTAGACTGCAAATTCTCAGTTCCACCCCAAAGCAGCTACACCAGAAACTCTAAGGGCGGGACCAGCAATCTGTTTTAACAAGCCCTCCAGGTGATTCTGATACATTCAAAATTTGAGAACCACTGACCTTGGGAAGAAAGAAATCTTGCAAATTTCTCTCCCCTCCAAATATTAATTGGTTCTCTCTTTTTTTTTATTTTTCATTTTTAACCATTTCTGATGGAGTTTTTTCTAAATTGCTTTACATACTTTCCTGGTTTCTTAGAGGTATGTGTATATAATTTAACCAATTTTCACCATTTTGATGACTTAGTTTTTAATTTTTAAATGGTTTTATCCTTTTCATTTTCATCTCTCCCTGTCACTTGTTCTATCAGAAAATCTCTGTGTAACAAAAACAGAAAAGTAAGCATCTAGAATTGTATTTTAAAATTCATCATAAATTAAAAAGTCATCATAAGATTTTGGAAGAGGTCTTGTGGAGGAATGGCTTCAGCAGTGGGTCTTTATAAAATCCATCTCCCGAGCATTAAGTGACAAAAACCAAAAGAACTTTCAGCAAAGGCAGACAGTAATGTACAAGATGATATGCAGAATGGCAATTATTAGTATTTTCAAAGAAAAGAAGTTTTGTTTGTTTGTTTGTTTTTCTGCAAGATGTAACGTGATTTAGAACAAATTGCCTGACAGTGACTTAAACCTAACGGGGCTCTATAAATATTTGGTGAAAGAAAATCTGCCATTGTGTCCAAAGAGGAACAAAATAGTAATATTTAATCTTAAATTTGAGAAACAAGTAAGCAAATATCTGCCTTTCCCAGATACCACAATAAGTAACAGAAAAACAGAATCATTTCAAAGAAGGCTTGGCCAGGGAGTTGAAAGCTCTTCTTCTTTGAGCAATTGTGTTTCTATGGAAGGTAACTCTGGCTTCCTGCATGGAATATCGTTCTTAGGAAGAATAATTTGCTCTCTAACACTCTTGCCATAGTTAGGTATTACGGAAAGTACTGGCTTGAATGTCCATGACCAGGACATATTCTGGTTCTTTGGAAATAGAAAATCAAAAACATTAATGATTTTATTTCAAGCTACTTACAGATAGTATATACTCTTAGGTAAAATGTGTCTATTCACAGCCTATAAATTGTTAGAAAAAATAGTGTGTCCAATATATTTGATCATCAATTTAGCAAAAATCGTAAGTTATTATACTGTGTTGTTTGTTTTCGGTGAAATATTTTTATTTTTTTTCTTTTCCATTCAGAAATAATACTTTTGGTTGACTTGAATGTTTATTGGCTAGGACTCTAATTGAGGAAAAAAATACAAAAAAAGGATGCAAAATATTAATTCCTATTTAGAAGGATTTTTTTTTCTAGATTTCCTGCTACTGCTTTACTTTCTTGTTGCTGAAAGAAAATTATTTTGTCTTCCCGTGTTCTATTTAAAGTGGAGAATAAAAATGCCAAATTAATGCTATGTATTAATGAAGCAGAGATAAATCCTGTTTGGTAAGAAAACCTAAAGGTTCAATTCCAACCCAGCTATCAAATCTAAGGCTGATTTTTATTGGTTTATTTTTGCCTTAAATGTATTCAAGCAATATTTGTTCTAAAAAAAATTTGTAGGGAGGTAGATATCTTTGTGAACAGGTTGAGCTCTCCTTACAACGAAGCAGCAGCTTCTATCTTTCAGTGCAATCTGGGCAGAAAAGACTAGCTCATCACAAAGCAGAAAAGGAATTCATTAGTTAAAGGTGAGGAGTGGCCCCAACCATAAGCAGAAGAAAATTGTCTGACACAGAAAGACGGGTGGGTTCCATAGTGAGGAAGTGGGTTTTACTACCATGCAGAATCTCAAAAGGCGAGAGGATCTTTGAAAACCTTTGATGAATTCAGAAAGACTGACCTTAGCACCAAGACCCTGAGAAGTTAAGAAGCTTATTTAAAGTCACATAGTGGGGCAAAGTGTTCCAAGGTCAGATTGGGCACTAAACAGGCTCCCAACTTGATATGGTCCATATGAATTTGGAAAATATGCATTTCAATTCTAACTCTGATAAGCTAAAGAGACCGTTCCCTACATTTTCAGGATGACATAAGATCTCCAGACTCTTGAGAAAATAATCTGATTCATAAGAAGAATGTAACAAGACACCTGAGAGTCACAGGGCAAATTCATACCTACTACCCACAGAGAACACTAGAATAAAAGATACCGCTTATTGTGGAATCGAATACTAACATCAAGAAAATGTTTTGTTAGACAGCAAAATCTTTCTCACTAGTCTCCCTTAAAGGTATAAGAAGATTTCTTAAATTTCCCTAATTTATCTCAATCACCTATTAAGGATCTCTCTCACATGCATTTATCTGAGTCCTAAGCCATACACTGAGGTAATGAGTTTCATTTATCCCCTTTCTAGTTGGTAAAGTGGCATTGCTTATTTGAATGAAATTAAACCTTTTTGAGTGCCATCTGGTTCTGATACTGAAGAATTTGGTGTACACATCCATGTTTACTCTAGACTGATAAGCCTTAATAACATTCCATCTGGAATACATTTCCCATATCAGAATGCTAACTATTTTTATTAAACCCTAATACTGAAGGTTGTCTAGTCTTTTTGGTTATTTAGAGGCTTTCCTTAGAACAATCTCATATTGCAGATTTCAGTGTAGAAATAGATCTCAAGTCATAGTTATGCACACAGGATTATATTGTAAAATGGGGTGTTCTCATGAAGACTTTTTTGGTTACAGGAATAGAATTCACTCAAAGTAGCTTAGGTAAACAGATGGTTATTATGTGAATACAACAATGTCAAACGTGGTCTCAGAGAAACCGGAGTGACAATGTCAATCCTAACATTGCTCCTTCTAGCTCTCTCTCAATTCTACTTCTACATTCTCCACCAGGTTCTTATCTTTGCCTGCTCTTTCCATCTCTACCATTCACATTCTTGCGCATATGTATCTTGCATATTCTCAGCAT
The DNA here is from genome assembly GCF_000001405.40 of Homo sapiens. Classification (NCBI taxonomy): domain Eukaryota; kingdom Metazoa; phylum Chordata; class Mammalia; order Primates; family Hominidae; genus Homo; species Homo sapiens. The sequence continues at coordinate 51,233,056 of NC_000010.11, read as the reverse complement.
GGTCACCTACACAGCCCATTTTGTACACTGCACTGCAGTTTTGGGGCTCATCACTGAATATCTTGAGTCTTTGAGCCCACTTTGTTCAAATTCTTGAGAGAAATAATCTGCTTTACCTCTGTTGAATGAATAGGTTAGCTCCCTTTTGATTAGGCTCCATCCCTGACTAACTAATCATAGCTAGAAATGGAAATGGGTCACCTGATAAGTGCAGCTGACACTTCTAGGAGCCAAGGTAGGGGCAGGTTGATTCTATTGAAGGAGCTGTGGATTCAAGCAGGCAAAGAAACGTGTCTAGCACAGGGGAGGACAAGAATTTGCACTCAATTTTAAACATAATGTCATATATTCCAGAAACTGTGCCACCACTTCTATTTGATCCTTTTGTCAAGAATTTTTTTTTCCATTGCACTGAGGTACCATCATAGGTCTTTTCTCTCAAAGAACAACAAGACAGAAAACATTGTCACTGTGTCTTTTTTGTAGGTTTTTGAATGACGGTATAGAATAATAATCATTGGGGTGTAAAATGTTTATTGTTATAGGGCTTGAGAAATTTAAACACACATCGCATATCCATTTTTTCAAGTCCATCACCATCAAGCGTCCCATTTTGCATCAAAGTGTCTATCTCAAACAGTAGCATACCATACCTGGCAAACAGCTGCTCCTTCAGTAACCAAATCTAATTCCTTATTAGAATAAAAGATGGCACAGCCAATCTTTCTGCTTTATTATTCATATCTGCAATTATTAATCTGTCTCTCATTAAAAGGCCATATGTTAGGTTTTGCCAACAAACTAGCACAGAGGTTCAGCTGAAGTACATTGTCACAAATAAATCAGTCTGTTCTACTTTTAGAGTCCTGGATACTGGCTCTACTGGAATTCACAGATTTATTTTGTACATACACATGCCCACAGAAATTGCTCCCCTACATGCATAAGTCTCCACTGTGAACCTCTTTTTAGTACCTTTAGTTTGCCAAGTGAAAAGCATTCAGTCAGAACCACTTGGCAATGTGTCAGTTTGTGCAACCACGTAGGACAATAAAAATATGACTGTTTACTGTTTTCAAAAATAGAGGCAGTAAAAATGAGACTGGTATTCAATGACCTCACCAAAAAGACATAAAACCTCAGATTGTTAAACAGTGTGAAAACCTGTATTTTTATTTGGGCTTTTGCCAGATTCTCTAATAAATGTCATTACATGACAAGGAACAATATATTTAGATTGCAATGTAAAACTTGGCTTGGTAGCCACTAACAGCTACCAGATCAGTTTATCAATTCTCCAGAAAACGTCACATCTAGAAGTGTTGTAGGTAAAAAAAAAAAAAAAATGTTTCAGATGTTGCCAAATAATTCCAGAATGGTCTGAGCTCAACAGAACGTCTAGTTTGAAATGGAACTACTCAGTGTGCATATGCGTGGCCAGGTCATGTTCAGATGCAGAACTCCATAAAAAAGGATGATTCCAAAGAAAGGTAAATTCCGTACACCCTAAGTACAAGAAAAAGAATCCCAGATTCAAGCAGCAAAGGAATGACCATTCACTTTGTAGTGGAGAGGGTCTGTGTTTTGAGGAGACTAAAAGTTAGGCCTCCTCCTCAGGGGACAGCCATGAGACTGAAACGCACAATTTGGCTGCTCACTCTGACATGGCAATATACACCCTGAATATTGCATGAATATTGAAGCTGTATGCAGCTTTGACTGGGTCTATTTTAATGTGCTCAGTACCTGGTTTGAAAACTCATGTTACCTTCCCTTACTGCCAGTAATGTTTCCGAGTTTTAATTTTAAGTAGGAAATTATACAACTTTAGTAAGAAAGTAACCAGGGATTGCCCCCTAAAATTTAACTTCCCCAATTTTTAACGTAAAACATGTTTGCTGTAATCTAGGCTTTGGAGACTCAGCCTAGAGTCTTTTTACCTCCTGAAGTAAACGAGGGCTTCTCCCTCCCTTTTCACTCCCAGCAAGAAGGGCTGAAGCCAACCTAGCTGACTAGGACATGCAGAGGTGAATTCCAGACTTAATGGTTTACAGTAACCAGGGCACTGGGGACAGCTGAAACTCATGAGGCTTCAAATTGGAAGCTCTCTGCAAGTGCACTTAAAAATGACCATATTTTTCCTTTAAAGTGCCTACAACCAGCCCTCCACATTCATGGGTTCTGCATTCGTGGATTTAACCAATCATGGATCAAATATATTTGAAAAAAAAATTGCATCTGTACTGAACATGTGCAGGCTTTTTTTTTTTCTAGTCACTATTTCCTAAGCAATACAGTATAACAACTATTTACATAGCATTTACTTGCATTCATTATTATAAGTAATTTAGAGATGATTTAAAGTATATGGTAGGATGTGCATAAGTTATATGCAAATACTATTTTATGCCATTTTATGTCAAAGACTTGAGCATCCTTGGATTTCAGTATCCGTAAGAAGTCCTGGAACCTATCTCCCATGGATACTAAGGGACAACTGAATTTAACTCTTTAGTATGGACCAGACATTTTTCACACGAGTGTATCTAATTCTTACAACCACATAAGAGGGTAATATTGTATTTCATGAGGTTTTTAAAAAATTATATTAGTGCTACATCTTTTTGGTAAAAATACCAACAGTAAGTAAAAGTATAATGTGAAAAGTAAATACTTCTACCCCTATGCACACATATATGAATCACTCATCAAAATTCCCAGAGGTACCCATTAGTGCCAATGCTTTGAGTATCTCCCAGAAAGCCTCTATGCATGTCTCTTTGTGCATATACCCTTCTGAAACTATTTTATTTCACATGGTATCTTGAACATTTACCTATATCGAATTCATGTTCCCATATCTAATTTCCCACAACTAATTCATTTTTATTCTCTTTAGTGGCCACTGAATAAATGTTCTTTCATTTACTTAGTTAGTTTTCTGAACATTTAGTTTCTAGTTTTTATTATTACTAATAATGCTGTAAAGAATATCCTTGTACGTGTTGAAAAATAGCACTTACAAGTGATATTGCTTAGTTAAAATTAGGAATATTTTAAATTTTGATAGACACTGCTAAATTTCTTTTTCTTTCTTTTTTCTTTTTCTTTTTTTTTTTTTTTTTTTTTTGAGATCGCCTCACCCTGTAACCCAGGCTGACAGAAGCAGTGGCACAAACACGGCTCACTGCAGCCTCGACTTCCTGGGCTCCAGCAATCCTCCAACCTCAGCTTCCCAAGTAGCTGGGACTACAGAAGCATGCCACCATGTTAGGCTAATTTTTATTTTTTGTAGAGAAAGAGTTTTGCCACGTTTCCCAGGTCAGACTTGAACTCCTGGGCTCAAACCATCCACCTGCCTCAGCCTCCTAAATTGCTGGGATTGTAGGCATGAGCCACCACACCTGGCCCATTACTAAATTTCTGAACTGAAGCTTTTAGTCCCATTTTTATGTGTTAGGGAAACTGAGTCTTGGAGAGACTAAGATACATTTCAGTGGTCACAAAAGCTCATAAGCAAACTTGTAGAGTGAGGATCTGAAATTAAGGTTATCTAGCTCTGAGCTTCACCACTTCCACCCTTGTCACCTGACTTCTTAAAACCTTAAAGTGACTCTCAGCCTAATAGTAGTCCTTAAATTTCTGGAAGAAGTAGTCAGTTTGGTACTGGCATGGACAACGGAACATTTATTCAGTGTGAGACAAACTATTGACCAATACCTTCTTATCTGGGAAATGAGTTTCCAAAGGGGTTTAAATATATCATTTATTCACTCATTTATAAAATAATGTTTGAGTACCTCCTCTCTGCCAGGTATGGTGCTTTACCATGGAGACCCTTGCTGAACAAAATTGACAGGTTTCTACATTTTAGTGGAGGAGAGACATATTAACAAAATCATCATAAAAATTAATGTAAAATTATAGCCAACCAGTACAAACATGTCACTGATATCTGAGCTTATAAGAGGATTTGACACAGACAAGGTTAGGATTCCTGGAGGTAATGCTAATTGAGTTGAAATCCAAAGGAAAGGTGGGAGTGAGTAGTGGAAAAAGGTAGAAAAGTGCATTTCACTCCAGGTAAAGGAACAGTCTGCATAACGGTCATGATGGAAAGAAACAGTGCAAGTTCCAGAGACTGGACAGGGCAAAGCGTGGTTATACAACAGGGATAGAGAAAATGTAAGCAGGATCCAGGCCACGTAGGGCTTTATTAGTCTGGGGAAGGAGTATTATCTTCGGCAAAGTGGGAGGCATTGAAAGGTTAACAGGAAGGTGTAAATCACTGTGGCAGCACAGAGGAAAATGATTACTTAATTCCTAAAGCAAAACTCTTCAGTATATTAAATGTACATCGTACATGCAATTGAAAGCAGCAACTTTTCTAAGAAGAAACTCCACATGCCTAAAAACCACACCTGATGCTCACTAGTGCTCTCTTGGTCTCCCCTCTCTCTCTCTTTCTCCCATAAGTAGGAAGACAACAAAAAGCAATTTACTTAAATGACCTTAAATCTAAAGATGCAGTAAAAATTATCACCATCATGATCTGGGGACAGGATTACATATGAAGAGTTAAATTAGAGAGCTTTCCAAATCAACTTAGCTGCAAATGCTGACATCAATTTAAAATTAACCAACTGCATAACCAGTACAAGTAGTCACTTGGGGAAGCAAATTTCAGGAAGAATCCACTTAGACTAAGAGAGTGTGGCAGCTGCCTCAGAAAAGAGACCTGTCACTTGCCCCATAACCTCAGCTTCTCTGAACATTCTAAGCAGTAAGGCTTTCCTACAAAGTAAAGTTTCCAAAGGGCAGACACAATAACATAACTCGTTGGCTAAATGCATCTATCCCAGACCTTTAAACAACTGAAAGAATAATCGAGACATAAACTGTATGCACAAATGAGAATGCTAGCTTCTGTGCCAAAGAATGTGTGATTTCAACACCTGGTACCGTGAAGCCTCCAGTGTAAATCTGAAGTCTAGGTCACTTTGCTTGACATATGAATGCTTCCCTGAGATTCTCCCCACCCCCTCCAAAAATCCCTAAAGAAAATGATCCAGCAACTGGAAGATGTTCATACAGGTTAGAGTTGCTCTAAAGTAGAATAGTCTAGAGATGTCCATGAGATTAAATTCAACCTCCACAGTCGTTTGGCACAACACTCAAGGCCCTTACTTGATAGTCCCTGCTGTGATTGCAAGCACTTTTGTGCCACTCTTTCTTGCCCTCTCATCCCTGCCACACCTTATGCCCCAGTCACAGGGATGCTTTACCTGATCTCAGCAACACTAAGCTGTGCCTCTTGGTTCATGTTTCTTTCTCCACATTAAATTCCCTTCGCTGTTGCTGAACTCTGGCTTTTCTTTTAAAACCAAACTCTAAAGTCTGGTCCGGGAGCAATTCAACATTTTATGAGAACCAGCTGTACACCAGGCATTTGGGATACAAAGATAAATAGGCCTCAATTTTTGTCCCTCAGAAGGTCATATTATGATGTGTCTTTACATTCCTAGTGGCTAACAGATTGCTGTTAGTAAATAATGTTCAACAAGGTAAATTGGATATATCCAAACAAGAATAATAAATTGAGGGTACCAGCATTCAAAAAGAGAACAAGAACACCTGAAGGGCTAGTGTGGTGTGCACCATGCTATTATAACACAGGGCATACACAGTATCCTCAAGAATTTAGGATGTCCTTCACCTAGGGAAGAAAATATATTGTTATAGAAATCATTCATTCATTCATTCACTATTTTCTCTTTTGATGTGCAAGATATTATGCTAGGCACTATAAGCCTATGATGACTGACATGTCTCTATCAAAAGAACTTAAAGGGATAGGATATAGACACATATATATATATAAATATATGTACCATATATAAAACATATATATTTATAATATATATAATTATTCCTGTACATTACACAGGAATAATTATTAAATGACTTAAAGTTCTGTAAGAGTTCAAAGGTGAGAGATTTCCTCTAAATAATGGAGACATATTATCTACTTATCCTCCACCTCAAAAGCGCTGTGGAATCTGATGCTGAATGCCTAGTGGAAAATGTCACCAAGTGGTCGGTGGGCTTGTCCAATTGTTGCTGGGACACCTATTCACATCAATAGTTGAGTATCTCCTGAAAAATTCTCAATTTCAGTTTCAGACTACTATAAATCTTAGTAATTTATTTCTTTTACTGAGCCAAAATATATTTTCCTGAAACTTCCATCTGTTAGTCCTATGTCTTGCTCTCATTTCAGAGTTAATTCATTTCTTCCTCCACATCCATAATTTGAAAAAATTAAATAACTGTTATTCTCCATAGTTTATTTCTGTGGAGTTCTTGGATCTGCCTTCTTATTCAAGATAGGAACTAACCCTCCTAGTTTCTAATATCCTCAAATTGTATTAGTATGCTATTAAGCTTCTCTGTGAATTTATTAATAAACATATTGAACCAGACCAAAGTTTTCATCAAATTGGCATTAATGAATAACATTGCTACAGTTGATTATTCAAACAGCCAAAGATCTGCCTAACAAAATTATCACTCAGCTTACAGCCCTCATACTCATTGATAAAGACATTATAGGGAACACTGATGCACATCTTGCTAAAAACCAGATACACAACATCCATGACTTTCCAGTAATCTATCAGCCAATTAACTCATGCAAACAACAACAACGTAAAGTTTGACTCCATGACTTGATCATAGTGAATCTAGCTAAATCTTAGTAATCAACTTTTTCTTTCCTAAAAAATAATTTTGTAAATAAATAATCTGCCCCACATTATGCAGAATCATTTTTCTGTTTGTTCGTTTGTTTTTGCAGACAGAGTCTCACTCTGTCCCCCAGACTAGAGTGCTGTGGAGTGATCTTGGGTCACTGCAACCTCTGAATCCCGGGTTCAAGTAATTCTCATGCCTCAGCCTTCTGAGTAGCTGGGACTACAGGTGCCTGCCACCACACCTGGCTAACTTTTTGTATTTTAGTAGAGGCGGTGTTTCACCGTGTTGCCCAGGCTGATCTCAAACTCCTGAGCTCAGACAATCCATTCACCTTGGCCTCCCAAAGTGCTAGGATTACAAACATGAGCCATCGCGCCCAGCACAGAATCAATTTTGATTACTTAAATAAAGATGAGGGGATCTACATTATTCCCAGACTTTTTCTTAGAAGTTAAAAGAGTACTAGTTTCTGTGCTCTAGCAACTATTCTATATTCTGTGAGTTCTATACAGTGAATCTAGAACTTTTCTAAATCAGTATTTTTTTAATGACAATGAGATTTTTTAAAGTCTCAGTTTATAGCCACATTCACTTAAAAAGCAACACCTTCACTATAGAGAAATACATACACACTGAATTTATATTATTAATAATAATGTATTTACGTATAATAAACAAAAAGTTAAGAAAACATAATTTTCTACTTTAGCAATGGCAGAGATTCTCAAAACAAAAGATTAAAAAGGAAAATAAGCTAAAATATGCTTCCCTTTGTTTTGAGGAAATGAAGCATATTAAACAAGCAAATCAGCAAACAAATATGGGTTCCTGGTAGACCTTTCTTTGGATACAATTATATATTAATACATTAATTCATAATTTGGTGTGCACAATGGACTGAATACCTACGTCTCCTCAAAATGCATATGCTGGAATCCTAACCCTTAAGGGGATGGGATTAGGAGGCAGGGTCTTCGGGAGGTAATTAGTTCATAAGTAAGGGTAGATCCCTCATGGATGAGATGAGGGCCCTTATAAAAGAGAGCCCAGTGAACTAGCTAGCTTCTTCTACCACATGAGGACACAGAGAGGAGGCAACACGTATGTGAAAGGGGGCCTTCACCAGACACTAAATACGCCAGCGCCTCCAGACACAGAATCTTCCAAACTCCAGAACTGTGAAAAATAAATTTCTGTTGTTTATAAGCTACACAGTTTGTAGTATTTCGTAATAACAGCCCAGATGGACTAAAACAGTGTATATTTCCTTTCATGTTAACTGCAAATCAAAGTTCTCTCTTCCTATTTTCATCACCAACACTAAATTTATATGCTCTTTGGAAGTTGGGGCAGGGGGTAGGCGATGGGAAGCAGGGGCATGGCTAAAACTGCCAAACAGTTTTCATGGATTATTTCCAAATTGGATGATTCCACTGGGCCAGATTCTGCCCACCTCAACCCTCCCTATAATTTCAACCATATGTGGTCCTCTTCAATTCTATTCTCAGAATAAACATGATGATGAAATAGGGCTTGGATTTTACTTAAGAGGCTGCATACTTCAGTGACAAGCAAGCTCGTTCTTCTAAGTACCCTGTAATCCAGTTTACAGAAATATAGGACGCTCTGTAGGAGAAAAATAAAATGAAAGTAAATGTGTTCTTATGTATGTAATAACTTTCTCAGTTACAACAGGATATACTGTAGGAGAAAAATAAAATGAAAGTAAATGTGTTCTTATGTATGTGATAACTTTCTCAGTTACAACAGGATATAAAATATTGTGCCACCTGGGAAAAATTTCTCAAGCACAAATGCAAATTAGTTTGATGTCTGAAAATATTCACTATCTGCTAAATCTCTGAGCAATAAATATTCATTGCTAGACAATGACAACTTCTTATTAAAGAGAATAGGATGGGAACAAGGCTGAAGAGATCGTTAGGATGGAACATGCTACCATGGAAAAATCTGCCTGGCACTCAGGCCCTTGAATTAGGTGGACACACCTTTCTCTGACTCCTTAGTGATTCTAATGATGATGCTGATGATACCTAAACTGACAGAAGGAACTGAAACCCAGAACTTCCCACTGAAAACGTTAACTTTTCCAGTGTGTCCAAATCTGTCACACTTGGCAGGTCTAGATGAAGGCAATGGCAGGCTTACACAAAACCACAAAATACAGTTTATCTTCTGTCTTCCAGCAGTGCCTCTTTTCCTATTTTCCCACTCCATGGTTCCTCTCTATTCTGGTCTATGTGTCCTTATGCTTGCTTCTTTTTTACACAAAGATACCATTTACAGGATGGGCATGTAGAAGAGAATTATAAAAACCTGCTCCTAATCAAAGCACACTTTCCCTTAGAGCCAGTCATTTCAGCAATGTATTCAAAGTAAAACAATGAAATGAACTATATTTAATCCAGAGCTAAGAATGAGTGACTGCTTCAATTTATTCTTCAGCACAGTATTTGCATTATATTTGTGAGCCAACATACTTTTATCTGTCAAGTCTACTTTTAAGGCTTTATCATTAGAAAATAATTATATGTGCAGAATAAAATGGTGATGTCTTTCTCGAAGAATTGTTTTTATAATAATAAATTTAAAAATGGAAATAGGCCAAAAGAATAAAAAGAAGAAATTAGTAAATTATATCTTATACAGCCATTAAATTTATGTCTGTAGAAATATACATCTTATGTGGTAAGATATTTATGATATACTAAGTAAAAGGACAAATTTTTTAATGGATAGTAGAATCCTATAGAGAATACATTTATATAGATATTCACTCGTGTATGTGTGTATGTATGCACTAGGCATAGTGCAAAGCACTTTGTAAACAAGAACACATATGGCCTCTACTTATATGAAGTATACATGTGGGCTCAAATACAGACATTAACTTAAGTCAGCAGACAAAAATTTCTGTCTTCATGGGGTTTATATCTTTTTCTTGGTTCTTTTTGCCTGGCACATATTGCTTGTGATATTAAAATAATAATTTTGAACTTTTTTATAACTATAAAAATGTTCTCTCTTTTCCTAGATTGCTTGAAACACAATCCACAATCAGAATTTAGGTGATTTCCAGGAGCTACAGAGGGTGGGGGAAGTGAGGATATGTAGATCAATGGGTACAAACTTCCAGGTATAAAATGAGTAAGTTCTGGGGCTATAATATACAGCGTGGTGATTACAGTTAATATTCCTCTATTGTTTACTTGTATTTTGTGAAGTGAGTAGATTTTAAGTGCCCTTACCCTCCCCCGCACCACCCCCCGCCACACACAAACACACTGAGTAACAAATTACAGTGATGGATATGTTATTTAGTTTGATTATGGTAATCATTTCACATTGTATACATATGTACTTTTATAATGTATACAAGTAGAATGTATACATATGTATACCTTACATATATACATTTTTTGTTTATCAATTATATTTCCATACACCTGGAAAAAACTGCAGAATTCAGAAAACTTAGAGGGGGTGTTGTGGGCAGGAATACCGTAATTCCTACCGTCAGGGCCTCTTCTCATGAAGTACTCATACTTATGGTGGCCACCCTAATATAAAGAAATATAAACTACCCCTGTGCTATAATTCTTATATCTAGAACCATAAAGCCATGAGACTTCCTTCTCTGAATTTCTCAGTGTTACCTCTAAATCCATTACTTAAACTTTGGGCGAGAGTTATTTATGAAACAAATAGACTAAGCAAACTTCTCAACCTTATTAAAGAAATGAAGTAAGGCGGTTTTGCTAAAGAAAGGGTCAGAACTTCTATGAAAAGATCAGAACAGAAATCAATTAAGCATTTCTGACCATAGGCAAATTAGAAAATCCCTAGACAGTTAATGCCAGAGTGTTTGAACCAATTAAACCACCAAGATGAGCAGAGACAACATTGATTAATGTTCTACTTGGAAATCAAGTTTTATATTTAGGTCTGTGGAAAAAGAAAATGAGGCAGACTGCTTTCCTCAACAAAACCCTTATTTTGAAGTAACTTTGGTCTTAGAGTAGACAAGTGAAGGTGGGAGGAACAGTTCCTCTCTTTCTCCACTACAATCCAATTTTTCCATAGAAAAATATGAAACAGGCTGGGCGCGGTGGCTCATGCCTGTAATCCCAACACTTTGGGAGGCTGGGGTCGGGGGGGGGCGCGGATCACGTGAGGCCAGAAGTTCAAGAACAGCCTGGCCAAAGTGGTGAAACCCCGTGTCTAATACAAATACAAAAAAATTAGCCAGGCGTGGTGGTGGGCACCTGTAATCTCAGCTACTCGGGAGGCCAAGGCAGGAGAATTGCTTGAACCCGGGATACAGAAGTTACAGTGAGCCAAGATGGTGCCATTGTACTCCAGCCTGGGCGACGAGTGAAACTCCCTCTCAAAAAAAAAAAAAAAAAGAAAGAAAAGAAAAATATGAAACAAAAATATAAAGGGGAAGAAAAATGCTCCTCTTTTATTATTTTCTGCCTCTGATGCTTAGCCTTTGTTGAGGCACTGCTGGTTGGACTAGATAACTACCTTTCATTGTTATCTTATCAAAAGAGATTTATTTACTGCTCACTATTTTCCTCTTTAGAAAGATGAGCTCTACTTTAAAGTTAAATAATGCAGAACATGGTTAGGAAAAAAAAAGTTTGCCAATCTTTTTTTTTTTTTTTTTAGAACACATTGTATTGACTTGCTGAAATTATCATGGTGGCTGCTGTTGTAAACCAAGGAACCATGTAAAAAGACTGGCCTCTAAGCCACATTTACAAACATTGTAAAATTTAGTGTTAACTGTTTGATCAGAAAATAGTGCTATTTTTATAATTCTTGGAACTTATACAAAGAGAGATTTAGAAACTTATCATTTTAATTAATTTGTGCACATCTTAAATATATATATTTTGATATCATAGATCTAGATGGCTGACATAATAATACAGAGATAATTTAAACTCCCTTTAGTCACTTGAGAATTTTAATGCATTCATTAGAAATGTGATGTGAGAGACTATTTTATTAAAAATACATCAGATAAAAAAGTCATTGTCTTTTCAAAGCATCAATTAGTAAAGAACTAACTAGGGAGTTACTCTAAATATGTCTTACATTTTTACAAAATTTAAAAAAATTAAAAGAAAACTATATTTGGTGAAAATACATTAACTTTAGTTTACTTTGCTAAAGCAAGTGTATTTTCCAACTCACAAAATCTACTTTCATTAAAATATATTTTATCTAATTATTGCACAAATGTACTAAACAATAACCCAGTGCTGAATGAAACATATTGGAACTAAGCATCTTAATTACAAATATTATACTATAAGATTAGATTTCTACATACTACAATCCCAACACAGAAAAATGTTTCTTATTCCTTTTCAATTTCCAATTTGTCTTTATCCTCTTTATTTAATTCTTTATAAATTTTAGTACACCTCATTCCCTCTTCTCCAAATTGAAATTGCTTATATATTTTAATTTATGCCTACTTTTAATAATGTTTTATTCAATGTATATTATTCCCACATCTCCAAAAATAAACTTCCCTATACATACAAACACAAGATCCTTAGATAGATATAAGTGAAAAAGTATTCTTACCTTTTAATGTTAGCTACTTTATCACTCAACCATGGCAAACAATGAATAAAATGCTGTTGATCCAGATACTAGATGTTTATTTATAGCTCCATACTCTTGGTATAATGGTAATTGCTGTCACTAATACTGGTGTCCTATACTATGATTTTGTGCATTTTTTACACCCTCGTGACTGTGAATTCTCTGTTAGATTTTTCCATCTGCTTTTTAAGTAGCCTTTTGGTCTTTGTTTCTTTTCCTGGCTGTTTAAAACACACCCTTCAAAATTATATTATCTTTTTATTCCTTTGTAACAAATTCATGGAAACCTAGTGGCTTAAAACAACACTCACTTATAATCTCTTAGTTTCTTTAGGTCAGAAATCAGGTGGGTTTGGCTGGGTTCTTATCTGAAGGCTCTCTGATGAATAATCCACTTCTAAGCTCTTTCAGGCTGTTGACAGAATTTGGTTCCTTGTGGCTATAGGACTGTGGTCCTTGTGTCCTGGAAGATTGTCAGCCAGTGGCCTCTCCAAACTCTGTAAGGTTGTTTATATTTCTTCTTGTATTGTTCCCTGAATCTTCAACCAAGCAACAGCACATCAAATCCTTCTTGTACTACAAATCTCTCTGACTTCCTCTTCTGCCCTCCTCTTCTGCCTTCCTTTTCTGCCAGGAGCTGGTAAAGTTCTCTGCTTATAAGGCCCAACCAGATAATCTTCCTATTTTAAGGTCAGCTGGTCCATATAACAGAATACAATCAGGGGAGCGAGATCACATCATATTCATAGGATCAGGACACGTGGAATCTTGGGGGTCATTCCTAGAAATTCTGCCTATCACAGAAATCTAACTCAAATTTCACCACTGACAGGAAACCTTAGATATCCACTCATTAACTTCTCCTGCCAATCCTTCACTTCCTCTCTATTTGAAATTTAAACAGATGCTCCTTCTTGCCTTTTTTTTAAATTTTATTATTATTTTTTTTTTGAGATGGAGTCTCGCACTGTGGCCCAGGCTTTAGTGCAGTGGTGTGATCTTGGCTCACTGCAACCTCTGCCTCCTGGGTTCAAGTGATTCTCGTGTCTCAGCCTCCTGAGTAGCTGGGATTACAGGCACCTGCCACCACACCCGGGTAATTTTTTTGTATTTTTAGTAGAGACGGGGTTTCACTATGTTGGCCAGGCTGGTCTCAAACCCCTGACCTTGTGATCCACCCGCCACAGCCTCCCGAAGTGCTGGGATTACAGGTGTGAGCCACTGCGCCCGGCCGCTCCTCCTTTACTTCTACAGCATCCCACTGTGTACCTAGATTAAAGCATTCATCACACTACAGTACACTGCTTGTCTACTAGTCTGAGAAGACTTAACTATGTAACCCCAGAATTTAGACCAGTGCGAATCAACATAATAGATGCTCACCTGATAAACATATGTTTAACAATTTATATATATGTACCTTTAAGGTCAATGAAAAACATAAGTTATGTTCGGTGTAAACTGTAGTATTGAAGTGTGTTCACCACTAATTTTTGAAAATGAGTAATCTGTATTCATAGGTAAAATTATCAGCTGATACTACTCATTTAATTAAAATTTCATATTCATTAAAAATAATTTGAAAGTATTTCTAAAATGTATTAATTGCTGCTGCACTAACTGCTTCATCTCATTTAATCAAAACAATTCCATTTTAGAGATGAGGAAACTGAGACTTTGAGAGGTTAAATAACTTGCCCAAGGTAAAGTGACTACAAAGTTAGTGAAGCCACCATAGTATCTGAACATTCTGACTGCTATGCTATCTTCTTCCTTCCTTCCTCCCCTTCTTCTCTCCTTCTTCCACTCCCTCCCTCTCTCCTTCCTTTCTTTGATATTTATTGATATTAATTATGTGTAGGCATTGGGCTAACCGTTATCAATCAATAAACTTGGGTCCCAATCTTTTTTTGTTTGTTTCTAGAAATAATATCTTTATCATATGTATTCATAGCACTTAACACGAACAAAATATCAAGACATTACCTCATAAAATAATATTTCTATGCATTGGTGTTTATATTTAATATGCATTTAAAATTACCCATCACTGATCTTGTTTTTATGTAAATGCCAAATACATATATATATGCCAAATACATATATATAAATGCCAAATACACACATTTTATATATATATATATATATATATATATATATATATATATATGAAGATAGATGAACTATAATGAAAGTAGACTTCAAAATATGCTAGTCATTAGTAACTTTCTGTGGGAAAAACCGATGAGAAAATTTAAACAAGGAAATTCCATCTTGCCCAACTGTGATCTCATAGTTGAGGATAGTGTATGAACCACAGATGGTGGGAATAAGGAAGCCACACATGTTTATAGTGACTTCAACTTCACCAAAACAAATATCTGTGCCTTAGAGCAACGTTTTTGTTACAAAACAAAGTCATACTCAAATATATTGCATCTTTCTGCTCAGGGCCTCCAATGCAATGTTTAAAAACATTTAGACCTAGTCATTGTTATAACAGATACTGTATTTACCTCATTAGAAAATACATGCCTTTCAAATTTTTACAAAATTATGTTGTTAAATAACAGTTAACGACATAAGTATCACAGTTCATTTACATTACAAAGTATGTAAACATGAATTAGTGCTATTGCTAAAATGGCCCTTGAAATGTACAAGTGCTGAAGCCATAGTGAATTATGAGATGTTAATCACTTGTAAGACCTGAGATTCAGATGAAGGAGGGAACTGAAAGAAAGGAGGAATTTGTTACCCTTGCAGAGAAACTCTAAAGAAATCCTTGGAAATTATTTTACAAAAATAAATCCAAATAGTAAAATAATTAGCTTTTCCATTTTTCTTGCTATACATTTGCCATCCATAATCAGATCTGAATTCAAATAACTGCACAGGAGTGTTTACAAGGGGTAAAGAGAGAACTGATTTATGTAAATAATAGATTATGTTTATAAAGGCCATCTGTGTGAGCCCAGAACTAAGGCCAGAAACAGAAGTACCAATTTATACCACAGGAAAATTATTCCTAACTCATAGAAGGACTGTTTGTGGGCAGAGGCACTTTATTTGTGTAAATGTAAATAGAAAAAATGTGTTTCATTCTCAAAATAAACACTGAATTCTAATGTATAAAAATTTCGATAATCCAACACCCTCACAATGTTCTTTTTCAGTCATCTCCAGATCTCTTCTTTTGTAATCATCCACTTGCATATTTATTATTAAAAGAGAGATGGTGATAGATTTTGCTTTACTCCTTTCTAAGGCATTTTTCCCCACACCAAACTTATTAGGTAATGCGTTCTTAAACCATTTAGACACGGCTAAAGAAAAAAATGGATTAAGATGCTGTGAAGATATGTATAATTTTATATGTGTAAAATAAGCCATTCCCTTCTCTCATGTAAACTCAGAGAATATTTCCAGGTGTAATTTTTATATCTATGAAAGAAGGTCACACATCTCTGATTCAGTAACAGCTTGTGTTGTAGAAATGCATATAAAGGTACACATACATAAACACACAATTATACACAGCCAAATTATTGCTATTCCTAAAATGGCCTCAGTGGGTATTAAACTTTAACTATCACCCATGAGCTTTTCAATTTGACTATCTGCACAGGAGATCATTTTCTTATTTTTTATTTAATGACAATGGAGGCTAAACCAGGCTAGATTTATGTTTTGTCTTATAAGATGGAAAATGACAATGATTTTATTCTCATGTATACAAGTTGTAAGTCTAGAAGCATTTGGGGGAACAAGGTGGAATTTATATTATAGTAGCCTGATATTCAGCAAAAAGGAGACAATTTACTACCAAATATACTTTTTAAATCCCCCTGAAAAAATCAATGCTGAATTAGCTGAAATATTTACACACACCCATACCACTTGAATACATTTTAGAATTCCTACCTTTCCATTCAAATCTTAGTTCAAACATCTTATTTATGAAGACCTCTGTGGAATTCTCAAGCAGTTAGCATCCCTATTTTCCTACATAATCTTGAAAATGATGATGACAGCATTTATTATAAGAAAAGTTATATAGTGCCAGTTACTGTCTTAAGTATTTTGCATATGTTAATTCACACAATCCTCACACCAATGTCCTGAAACGGTTATATTCGGGTTTTTTAAAACCAGTGAGGAAACCCAGGCACAGAGAAGTTAAGTAACTTGTTTAAGGTCATAAAGATGGCAAGTGGAAGTACTGTTACTCAAATCAAGGCAGTCTGGCTCCGGAGTCCAAACACTTAAACATTATAACAGAATCTCTGTTGACTTTCTGTTTACAAAATGGGAGCAATAACATGTGTCCATAGTATTGCTTTGTGAATTATGTAAGATAACTTATGTAAAGATCTTAGTGCCCTACCCAATGAAGAGCAATGCTGAATGTTGTTATTGCTACCAAGTAGTTATCTTTAGTCAGACTTCCATCCTCTGCTACAGTGGGAATTCTTTGGGGATGGGGTTTACATTCATTCATCTGCTCATTCATTCATCCCACAAATATTCAATGAGCCACTCCTGTGGGCCAGGTCCTATACCAAGTCCTGCAAGCACTCATCTCTGAAGGCCCAGCACTAATAGCAGACAAACACAGTTCTACCTCAGGGCCTTGGCACTTAATATTTGCTCCATTTGGAAAGCTATTTTCTATGTCATTTCAAGGCTTGTTTCCTCACTTTATTCTCTCTCCTCTAATGTTATGTCTTCAAAGACACCTTCCATGAACACTTCTAAAAAGTAGTGCTTTTCAGGGCTCTGTATTTCTTACTCTGCTTTAGGTTTTCTACATACACCTATCACTGTTATAACTACTAGAATGTAAGTTCTGTATATAGAGGAATTTCCAGTTCTATAGACAGAATCCAGAATGGTAGGCTACCAAGTTTTTGTCATACTGGTGAAAGAAAGAAGTGGAAGGTGGAAGGGAAGAAGAGAGGGATGGAGAGGGAGAGACAAAGAATGTTGATCAATGACTGTTTTATAAACATGAAAACATTTTCATCCCTTCTTGACCAAAGCACCTCTTACCATGAATAAACAAATGCCAGCATTCTTCTACTCCCTTCCTCCTCCATGCCCCCTGCAAAAATCCCACAGGGCTCCCCAAGCTTGCCCCTCAGTTTCTATTCAGCTGTCTTCCCTATGAACTTAAGGTTCTTACCATTTAAATTTCAACACCTGTTCTCACTCCTCCTAAGAAAATATGTATATGACCTCCATGGAGACCAGCTTTCCTTTTTGTTTCTAACAATGCTGAAGAGCTATAATTTAGCAGCATAAGTGGTAGTTGTAATCACTTGTAATTTATCATCCAACTGCACAGACTAATTCACGATCAAAGAAAAAGCTCTCCTTATTTTTCAATTATTAAAAATAAGCATTTGCGGATTCTTTCTTCAAACATGACACCATTAATTAGCAGCAAATGTGCTGTCGAGCATCTTTTTAAACAACAGTAATGAATTTACACTAACCCTTTCCCTCCTGGGATCAGTCTAATCATTTATGGTAGTTCTGATTGGCATTAGATGATTCGCATTGTTTTCTCTTTTTGGAAACATGATAGGATTGCTGTCCCTGACCTTTTGAAGTTAGCCGCCCACGCTGTAACTTGCTTCAGCCAATGAGTTGAGGGTAGAAGTGACAAGGTCACTTAAAAGAAAATTTCAAAGAGCAAGTGACAATCTTTCATTTTCCGTTCAGTGGTGATTTGCAAACATGTGTCAAGAGTGAGTCTTCTGTGGGTTTCTGTGTAAAGATATTGGGCAGAGGTCCCCTGCCAATCCACGTGCTCATGTAAAGTGATTGTAAAAACAAAGCTTTGCTGTTAGTTCATTGATATTTGACAGCTGTTCTCCGGGCCTGATTGTGGTGGTTCAAACCTGTAATCCCAGCACTTTGGCAGGCCAAGCGGGAGGACTGCTTGAGCTCAGCGGTTTGAGATCAGACTGGGCAACATAATGAGACACCGTCTCTACAAAATAAAAAAAAATATAGCTGGGGGTGTGGCAAGCGACTCTGGCCCCAGATAGGAAGTAGAGGTGGGAGAATCATTTGAGCCCAGGCAGGAGAGGCCTCAATGAGCAGTGATCATGCCACTGCGCTCCAGCCTGGGCAAAAGAGCAATACCCTGTCAAAAAAAAAAAGAGTTTTTCTTTTTCTGTGGCAACACTTGGTCCATCCTGACTGATTAAGTAGCAAGGTAAGATCTGTACCCATACAAAGTACAGATAATTCATACTGCTGACTCCATGCCCTGGTAACCTAACATAGATATTTCAATCATGCTACAGAAATGTCAGGGGACAAATATCATTGAAGGGACAAACTTCATGTGGATTATGAAACCATAGTGTAACACCTTTTCATGTGCTCCTTTGACAACCTGAGACCTTTTAAAGAGGCTATTAAGGAATCATACATGTGTATGTACATATGTGTACATAGGTGACATATATATAATATCACCTATTGTATATCTTTAAAAGGGCTTTTAGGGGAATCATAAGACTAACATTCCATTCTTCTAATATTAGAAATAACTCTAGGTGCTTTAGGTTCTCTAACAAAATTTTTGAACTCAGTTGTAAAGTTTTTCACTATAATATTACACTTTGGAAAATATGTAAATATGTTTTTTTCTTTTTGTTTAAGTAAGAATGATGAATCTGATTCCAAACGAGAACTATAAACAAAAGGCCATTCTTTTGCCTCTAAATCTTATGGATAAATCTTCAAGATGCTAGAAATATCTCATCAAATAACACATGAATAAAACAACTTCCCATTCTGTAACATATTCTTTCAGTTTCTTAAAAAATTACTTCTCTCTTGCTCTCTCACCCCTGCACACACACATAAACACACACACCCACACACTTCATAAAATGCAATATTCAGAAGAACCAAAGATTCAGTTTAAGTCTTTTTTAAAATAAGTTATATTATCTTTAGGAAAATAATATTTTAAAGTAATATTGCATTAGTTTCAGCCAAATTACAACAATGACTTCACCAGGCATGGCTATTGAATATAATGCAAATTCTTCTAACATCTGCCCAGGCAATGAGCAATTCCAAATGAGTGGTCACTCCATGTGAGATACTTCAGTTGTCTTTTGCAAAATCTCACTGCTAGAAAGACATATATAACTACTCATTTTTTTTATTATTATACTTTAAGTTTTAGGGTACATGTGCACAACGTG
Source organism: Homo sapiens (assembly GCF_000001405.40). Lineage (NCBI taxonomy): Eukaryota > Metazoa > Chordata > Mammalia > Primates > Hominidae > Homo > Homo sapiens. Next base: position 51,213,428 of record NC_000010.11, on the reverse strand, counting down.
CAGGTTTGTTACATATGTATACATGTGCCATGTCGGTGTGCTGCACCCATTAACTGGTCATTTAGCATTAGGTATATCTCCTAATGCTATACCTCCCCCCTCCCCCAACCCCACAACAGTCCCCGGTGTGTGATGTTCCCCTTCCTGTGTCCATGTGTTCTCATTGTTCAATTCCCACTTATGAGTGAAAACATGCGGTGTTTGGTTTTTTGTCCTTGCGATAGCTTGCTAGAGAATGATGGTTTCCAGCTTCATCCATGTCCCTACAAAGGACATGAACTAATCCTTTTTTATGGCTGCATAGTATTCCATGGTGTATATGTGCCACATTTTCTTAATCCAGTCTATCACTGTTGGACATTTGGCTTGGTTCCAAGTCTTTGCTATTGTGAATAGTGCCGCAATAAACATACGTGTGCATGTGTCTTTATAGCAGCATGATTTATAATCCTTTGGGTATATACCCAGTAATGGCATGGCTGGGTCAAATGGTATTTCTAGTTCTAGATCCCTGAGGAATCGCCACACTGACTTCCACAATGGTTGAACTAGTTTACAGTCCCACCAACAGTAAAAGTGTTCCTATTTCTTCACATCCTCTCCAGCACCTGTTGTTTCCTGACTTGTTAATGATCGCCATTCTAACTGGTGTGAGATGGTATCTCACTGTGGTTTTGATTTGCACTTCTCTGATGGCCAGTGATGATGAGTATTTTTTCATGTGTTTTTTGGCTGCATAAATGTCTTCTTTTGACAAGTGTCTGTTCATATCCTTTGCCCACTTTTTGATGGGGTTGTTTGTTTTTGTCTTGTAAATTTGTTGGGGTTCATTGTAGATTCTGGATATTAGCCCTTTGTCAGATGAGTAGGTTGCAAAAATTTTCTCCCATTCTCTAGGTTGCCTGTTCACTCTGATGGTGGTTTCTTTTGCTGTGCAGAAGCTCTTTAGTTTAATTAGATCCCATTTGTCAATTTTGGCTTTTGTTGCCATTGCTTTTGGTGTTTTAGATATGAAGTCCTTGCCCATGCTTATGTCCTGAATGGTATTGCCTAAGTTTTCTTCTAGGGTTTTTATGGTTTTAGGTCTAACATGTAAGTCTTTAATCCATCTTGAATTAATTTTTGTATAAGGTGTAAGGAAGGGATCCAGTTTCAGCTTTCTACATATGGCTAGCCAGTTTTCCCAGCACCATTTATTAAATAGGGAATCCTTTCCCCATTGCTTGTTTTTCTCAGGTTTGTCAAAGATCAGATAGTTGTAGATATGCGGCATTATTTCTGAGGGCTCTGTTCTGTTCCATTGGTCTATATCTCTGTTTTGGTACCAGTATCATGCTGTTTTGGTTACTGTAGCCTTGTAGTATAGTTTGAAGTCAGGTAGTGTGATGCCTCCAGCTTTGTTCTTTTGGCTTAGGATTGACTTGGCAATGCAGGCTCTTTTTTGGTTCCATATGAACTTTAAAGTAGTTTTTTAAATTCTGTGAAGAAAGTCATTGTTAGCTTGATGGGGATGGCATTGAATCTATAAATTACCTTGGGCAGTATGGCCATTTTCACGATATTGATTCTTCCTATCCATGAGCATGAAATGTTCTTCCATTTGTTTGTATCCTCTTTTATTTCATTGAACAGTGGTTTGTAATTCTCCTTGAAGAGGTCCTTCACATCCCTCGTAAGTTGGATTCCTAGGTATTTTATTCTCTTTGAAGCAATTGTGAATGGGAGCTCACTCATGATTTGGCTCTCTGTTTGTCTGTTATTGGTGTATAAGAATGCTTGTGATTTTTGTACATTGATTTTGTATCCTGAGACTTTGCTAAAGTTGCTTATCAGCTTAAGGAGATTTTAGGCTGAGACGATGGGGTTTTCTAGATATACAATCATGTCATCTGCAAACAGGGACAATTTGACTTCCTCTTTTCCTAATTGAATGCCCTTTATTCCCTTCTCCTGCCTGACTGCCCTGTCCAGAACTTCCAACACTATGTTGAATAGGAGTGGTGAGAGAGGGCATCCCTGTCTTGTGCCAGTTTTCAAACGGAATGCTTCCAGTTTTTGTCCATTCAGTATGATATTGGCTGTAGGTTTGTCATAGATAGCTCTTACTATTTTGAGATATGTCCCATCAATACCTAATTTATTGAGAGTATTTAGCATGAAGCGTTGTTGAATTTTGTCAAAGGCCTTTTCTGCATCTATTGAGATAGTCATGTGGTTTTTGTCGTTGGTTCTGTTTATATGCTGGATTACGTTTATCGATTTTCGTATGTTGAACCAGCCTTGCATCCCAGGGATGAAGCCCACTTGATCATGTTGGATAAGCTTTTTGATGTGTTGCTGGATTCGTTTTGCCAGTATTTTATTGAGGATTTTTGCATCAGTGTTCATCAAGGATATTGGTCTAAAATTCTCTTTTTTTTGTTGTGTCTCTGCCAGGCTTTGGTATCAGGATGATGCTGGCCTTATAAAATGAGTTTGGGAGGATTCCCTCTTTTTCCATTGATTAGAATAGTTTCAGAAGGAATGGTACCAGCTCCTCCTTGTACCTCTGGTAGAATTCGGCTGTGAATCCATCTGGTCCTGGACTTTTTTTGGTTGGTAAGCTATTAATTATTGCCTCAATTTCAGACCTGTTATTGGTCTATTCAGAGATTCAACTTCTTCCTGGTTTAGTCTTGGGAGACTGTATGTGTCGAGGAATTTATCCATTTCTTCTAGATTTTCTAGTTTATTTGCGTAGAGGTGTTTACAGTATTCTCTGATGGTAGTTTGTATTTCTATGGGATCAGTGATGATACCCCTTTGTCATTTTTTATTGCGTCTATTTGATTCTTCTGTCTTTTCTTCTATATTAGTCTTGCTAGTGGTCTATCAAGTTTGTTGATCTTTTCAAAAAATCAGCTCCTGGATTCATTGATTTTTTGAAGGGTTTTTTGTGTCTCTATTTCCTTCAGTTCTGCTCTGATCTTAGTTATTTCTTGCCTTCTGCTAGCTTTTGAATGTGTTTGCTCTTGCTTCTCTAGTTCCTTTAATTGTGATGTTAGGGTGTCAATTTTAGATCTTTCCTGCTTTCTCTTGTGGGCATTTAGTGCTATAAATTTCCCTCTACACACTGCTTTGAATGTGTCCCAGAGATTCTGGTATGTTGTGTCTTTGTTCTCGTTGGTTTCAAAGAACACCTTTATTTCTGCCTTCATTTCGTTATGTACCCGGTAGTCATTCAGGAGCAGGTTGTTCAGTTTCCATGCAGTTGAGTGGTTTTGAGTGAGTTTCTTAATCCTGAGTTCTAGTTTGATTGCACTGTGGTCTGAGAGACAGTTTGTTATAATTTCTGTTCTTTTACATTTGCTGAGGAGTGCTTTACTTCCAACTATTAACTACTCATTTTTTTATTGCGAGAAAATTGTTGCATGATACATTAAAAAGGGTTGGGAAGAGGTTTTCAAACACTATGCCAGAAAGAAAGTATGATTTGAAAAAGTCAGAACACACTTCCACTGCTCTCAAGCAATTAAGTCCAGGAAAAGTAATAGGTATGAAAAACCACTTCAATTGCCTTCAAGTTTAATGAAAATTGTGCCTGAATATGTCCAGAGAGAATATGAGCACAATGGGAATTGTTCTCAGGAAACACTTCAGTTCCTTTTGAAAATACAGAGAAAGAACAATATAGCACTAGCCCCAAATTTTGTATACTAATTTGTGTTTTGCTTTCATGCCTTATTAATGTCAACCATCTCTTTGTGATAATTATCTCTTCCTAGTAAAATGGCAAAATGCAGCAAGAATAATATTCCAAAAATAAGATATGAATAAAAAAATTAAACCCATGTTACTTTTTCAAGTACTAAAAATAGTTTTAATTTATTGTCAATCATGTTAGTAACTACTAAAACAAGAAAGAAAATAGGACAATCAACACTGTCTTTGTGTATACAATCTGAAACTACCTTAATGAGTGAACAGTTCTTACACATTATATTATTTTACTTTTACCAGGTGGAAACTAATGCTTCAGTTTAAGTCATGATGTTTTATTCCAAATACTTATCTGTTCACTGGATTCAAGCCTGGGCAGTCCCATAAATGCCTGGGGACAGGAATTACAGTGTGGACTGGATGAGGTTGTCAGTTAAGCGATCGGTATGAGGTCAATGAATATCTGTACACTCTTACACCAATAAAGGAATACATTTCTGCACACTTTACAGGAGAAAAGGAAAACGTTTCAGACAAAAAAAAACCAGCTTTTGTCCATTTGCCAACACTAGTCAAAACAATATCTTTCTGTTTCTCTCTTCCACATAAACACAGAAACCTGAAAGTGAATATATCATGGGTGGCTTAAGAAAACCAAAATTTTCCATTGCTGGAGGGGCTTCTAGTTAGTTGATTTTTAAGACCCATTTTATAAATCTGCCTGCATCATTGCACCCATACCTAGTAAACTCTGCAGTGTTTATAAGTCACAAAATGCTTTCAGGAGAGAAATAAATTGATGAGAACACAAAAGGGAAAGTCCATCATTTAATGTCAAAATGAAGACACAATCCCTTCCTAATTTTCTACATGATAGTCCTATTCCATTCGAGGCAGGTAGTGAGAATCTAAAATCCTAGGAGTATTTCCCAACATGTCAAAATACTAACACATGTCAAAGGCATCACCAGCAGAACATGTCCAGAATTGTGATGGCAAAAATCCCACTGGCCCAGCTCCAGGACCTTCCCTGATTTTCTTCCCTTTCATCCTCTGTACTCTGAACATGATCAATTTCTTTTTGGTACCTTCTCAAATCAAACTCCACTAAGCCTTTTGCATTTTGAAGTCCCCTTCCCATTATCCAAGGAAATAAGTGGCTTCTCTCTCATTTCTGAACTCCCCTAACCCTTTTCATCCTTAATATTACAGAAAGGAAGCTTCATGTCTTGCTAAGAACATGCATTCCTACATACCAACTGGTAACAATGGGGCTGTGCTTACCTAATCCTCAGTCCAGGTCTACTTGGGAAAAATTAGAATATTATGCAGTATGAATCCCCAGAACCTGAACTTCCTTAGTAGTATCCTGGTTCCTTCCTCAACTTTCCTAAACCATAACAATTTTACCATATTGGAATTACCAAATATTACATAACCGGTATCACATTTTGTGCTAACATTTTGTTCTTATTATTCTTTCATCATCTACACATATAAAAACTCCATATAAACACACTCCACAGTTAGCTTATTTTTCTACCAGTGGAGTTTTAATGGACAAAGACTGTACCTTCTACTTCTTTAGTGGAAGAAACAATAACATACATTTAAACTATTTTTTACCTAGGTAATTGACACTTTGGGCAGAGTGAAAGAAAAGGAAGAGCATGTTTTGTTTTAATGGAAGTTAAACTGCATTCAACAAAGACAGAGTCCCTACTGCATCAAAGACATTCAGTTAATAATAACACCATGAATAAGAAATAGTCCCTTTAAAAACTTACCTTTGAAGAGAGGACTCAGATAAGATGTCTACACTGTAACTATCATGCAAGGAAGAAATAGTAAATTTATTAGAAGAGAGAAATTACTTCTGACTGAGGTTTATGGAGGTAGGAATATAAGACAGTACTGAAAACAACCAAGTAGTAGAATTAGAGAGAACCCTACACATTTTCTTTAAGAGTTCCAGAAAGTAGAAAAACGTTATAAAGTTGCCATTGGCTTCCACTTACTTGTAATCTGCCAGGAAAGTAAATCTAAAGGAACGTTTGGATCATCACAAGTAGAGGAAATGGGGGCAGTATATTGTGAGAATGGGAAGCTGTACACTTTTCAGAGCTGAATCCTGGTGCCTGAGTGGAGTTGAATGCATTCCAGTAGATCTCTGGAATGGCTATAAGAAAACCAACTCCACAAGCCCGAGAGAATTAAAAAAAAATAATAATAAGGCAGGCACCAGCGAGGTAACCACAAATGTTATTTGCTGAAGCATGTCTTGAGAGACAGTCAGAGCCAGTGCAGGATGGGATGCTGGTGAAGGACTTAGACACTCTCGTCTTTTCATTCTATTCACCCAGGTACATAATAAGAGATTTAGTGAATAAGAGTGGTCCTTTGAAATCTTCTTCTCAGAGAAACCAAAGTCTTGAACGTAAGGAAGGGTGAAACAGCTGAAAGTTAATCAAGATAATTTTTTTCCTTTTAAGAAAACTGGCAGCCTGGATAATATTATAAAGCCTGGAAGCAGATATTAATGATGTAGAACATAATCCCTTCTTCCAGTTATCATGCCCTGGCTAATTCCCAGCCTGACTTGTCAACTTCAGGCTCTCTGGCAATTGAAATCAGAAATTGTTTCACTTACCAAAAAGAGAATATATAATAGTAAGTTCTTCATAAAATGTACCAAGAAATAGCCAGTCAAAAATATTACTCAAAAACTGCAAACTACAATTTAAAAAAAACTAACAAATACGATTCATTTTCCAATAAGAAAACTGAAATTTCACACTTTCCTGGCATGTACATATATATAGGCTGAATGTATCATATGAATGATATACTATCACTACTATCACTTGATTTCTGATTCTATTTATGTTGTAACAAGTGATCGCCTCCCTGTCCCAATTAGTAAAGTCCTGCCAAAAAGCTATAACTGCAGTTGAGTTTCAGTTTCTGAAAAAGCTGCTCTCAATTTAAGCAACAATGATCTGAGTTGAAAAAGTCACACAAGAGTGATCAAGGCAAAGATGAATCAATATCTCTATTTCCCAAGAAAAAGTGGGCACAGATGCTAGCTCTATGCTGGCCTCTAGTTTCCACAATCCTGTACAGCTCAATGTGTGATCTTTTGGAAGTGTATGTTTGGCCTAAGATTGGTTTTAAGTTTTCATTCTGGCTTAAGAAAACTGAAAATACTTTTTTGGCTCCATTCTTTTTTTTTTTTTTTTAGATGGAGTTTTGCTCTGTCACCCAGGCTGGAGTGCAGTGGAGCGATCTCGGCTCACTACATCCTCCGCCTCCCGGGTTTAAGCAATTCTATGCCTCAGCCTCCCAAGTAGCTGGGATTACAGGCGCCCACCCCCACGCCTGGCTAATTTTTTTTGTATTTTTAGTAGAGACGGGGTTTCACCATCTTGGCCAGGCTGATCTTGAACTCCTGACCTCGTGATCCACCCGCCTCGGCCTCCCAAAGTGCTGGGATTACAGCCGTGAACCACCGCGCCCAGCCGGTAATGGCTCCATTCTTGACAGGCAAGTAGCCCCTCACAGTTTATGATGTGTTTAAAAACAGAATTACAAAGTAAGCATGTAAGCTACCTTCACCAGAACGAATACAAGAAAAGTCAGAAAACAGAACTTTGAAAAACTAAAATTGACTGTTTACCCTGCTGCTTCTGTTTAAAACACTTTGAATGTAAATTATGAATGTAATTTCATTACAGGCAGAAAATTTAACCACCCATCCACACATGTTTACCAGTCTCCTATTTGCTGTTTATCCTTCTCACTTAGTATACCCTTACAAGTATACTAGAGAATTCTCACTTAAGTGAGAAGGGTACAGAAAAATCTAGATTTATAATCTAACAGGTTTTTAAAAATGCAAAAATAAAACCCTATAATTCCCTGTAATCCCAGCACTTTGGGAGGCTGAGGCAGGTGGATCACCTGAGGCCAGGAGCTTGAGACCAGCCTGGCCAACATGGTGAAACCCCATCTCTACTAAAAATACAAAAATTTGCCAGTGTGGTGGCAGCGCCTCTAGTCCCAGCTACTCAGGAGGCTGAGGCAGGAGAATCACTTGAACCCTGGAGGCAGAGGTGGCAGTGAGCCGAGACTGTACCACTGCACTCCAGCTAGGGCAACGAGCAAAACTCTATCTCAAGAAATAAAAGTTTAAAAAAAGCCCTATTACCCAATACAAAATGTGAAAAGTCATACGAAATGTCAGGAGGCAGGGTGGAAATTGCTATGAAGCCTAGATGAAAATGAAAATTCCCAAGGTGGACACGGTGGGTCACACATGTAATCCCAGCACTGTGGGAGGCCGAGGCAGACAGATCACTGGAGGTCAGGGGTTCGAGACCAGCCTGGCCGAGATGGTGAAACCCCATCTCACAAAAACGGAAAAATTAGCTGGGCATGGTGGCAGTGCCTGTGGTCTCAGCTACTCTGGAAGCTGAGGCAGGAGAATTGCTTGAACCTGGGAGGCAGAGGTGGTAGCGAGCCAAGATTGCACCACTGCACTCCCGCCTGGGCAACAGAGCAAGACTCTGTCTCAAAAAAAAAAAAAAAAAAAAAAAAAAAAAAGAAAAGAAAATGAAAATTCTTCCTTATGAAACAAAGAAAGGTTTAATAGAGGGGATAATATCTGAGCTATATTTTGAGGATAGTTAGGATTTCAGGTTAAATATGAGAATGTATAATGTAGGAAAGGCAATAATCTAAGCAAATCCAACAGCATGGGAAAGTACACACCATGCTCAGAAATGGCAATAGCCTCTTTTGGTTACAACATTGAGTCATACAGTGCATTTGCTAATATTCTTAGCTACAAGTGACAGAAACTCAGCTCCAATCCCTTCAGGCCCCAAAATGATCTATTCAGTGCTTTCATGAACTGATAAAATCAAACTGAAAGACAAGCACATTCACATCTCACTATGCCTCAAGGACAATGGATGACACTCTATTAAGGAGTTTTGCCACATAATAAAGTTCCCTGGGATCTGGGGTCTGGTGAAAAGCCCCCATTTGAAGCTAGAGAGGCAATTTCTAATCTGGACTCACCTGGCAATTTTTTCAATCCGTAATATCCACAGGTTTTTGACCTGCGGAAATAATTATAACTGTCTAGTCTACCGGCAGCAGGGTAGCTATGAGGCTAGAGAGATTCTCTAACTATGAAAAGATCCTGTTAAAAATGGCCTGACAAAAAGCATAGAACAAGTATACTAGAGAATTTGGAAAATGTAATCAAGCATCAAAATCCTTTCCTGAAGGATGGGAAAAAAAATGGGAGCACAAGAAATGTGTACACACACACACACACACACACACACACACACACGGAGGTCTACTCAAATAATCTAAATAAGCTGTTCCAATGGAAAAAAAATACCAAAGAGGAGGTCACTTTTCATCTTCCCATCATTTTCAGGAAATACCGAAGAGTAAAAATAAAAGATGCAACAACAGTTTTTCCATGTGCTAAGCCAGCTGCAACTACCTCAACAGGATACTGTTGTTTAAATAACAATAATAGAATCCAGAGGCCCATCAGAAATAATACAATCCTTTATAAAGAGGGGGAAATGAATTTCACTCATCCTAAATGAAATACATAAGTTTCTAGGTACTAAAGTCAAAACAGATGGAGAAGAAGAAAATAGTTCTTCATATCAAAAAACTTTCCAATAAATCTTTTCTTTCCTATTTCTTATTTCAGAAAGGCCAAAGGAGAATGAAGTATACAGACTGTCACTTATATCACCCTAGGCAAAAATTCATTCATCCATCCATATGAGAGACTTTAATGAAGAGTTACTGTGTAACAGGAAAGATGCTGAAGAAAAGAAATATAAGAAAAAGAAAGGTTTTGTCCCTGAGGAGGAAATATCAGCAAGAGTAAAGTCTACTAACATTCATTTTGTAAGTTTAAAGAAAATTACTCACATCATTTCAATTGTCCCTCAGAACAACTCTTTGAAGAAAATATTGCCTTACAGATTTGAAA